>NT_187545.1:0-205944 GCF_000001405.40 Homo sapiens
GAATTCCATTCAATCCATACCTGCATGTGCCTACCGTGAGTGAGGCTCTGAAACTGGTGTTCCATGCACAAGGCCAATTCAGTCTGAATAACACTGAAGGGGACAGAATTAAGAGGAGAATTTCTGGGCCACAGGGTAGAAAGCGTAAGAATGGCCTTGCAATGGGCAACCTATTCAGCCAGGGCCAGCGTGAGGACACATACGACTCTAGAGGGCAGGTAGGAGCTGAAAGTGAGGAGAGCCGAGGTCTCACCCTGAAGAGGAAAGGGGAATGGAAGGTCAACTCCACTAATTGAGAATATTATTCAGTCCAACCTCAATACAGATTTATGGTCAGTGTCACCCTTTCCTAGGAACAGGCAGCACGCTGTGGTGGAAGGGTCACAGACTCGGAAGAAAGCATATCTTTGATCCGTCCTAACTCAGTTTCTCCTAAGAGACGCAGTCTTGTGCAATACCCTTAATCTGCCTGAGCGTTAGTTTTCTTAGCTGCAAAATGGAGTTTATAATTCTTGATCTGTTTCACAAATATGTCATAAGAATAAAGAAATATGAACTAAAATGTTTTGACAATGATGGATTATCTAAATACCAACCATGCTTGTAGATGTTCTTAAAGTTCATATCAAAGGGGTTAGGAGAAATGATAAAGGATTACTCTAGGTTTGCTTTTTATTCAGGTATTTATTCATGTGGTTGAACATCTTAAAGCCGAAGAAAGAGTAAAATGCTGGTGAAAACTCAGGTATTATTTTCTGTATCACTGGATGCTAGAAATGATTACTGGAAAAAACTCTTTAATGAAACATGCTACCTGAACACTCCAGGAGGGAGATGAGCAGAGGAAAATGTCTTTGGCCTTTTCCCCAGTGAAGCCTGATCCTTTATGACTTGGCTTTCATCGATATTTTGCGCACTCAACAGAGACCCTCAAATATGTTTATTGAGAATTCACTGTGAAAACCGCACTCCCTTAGGCACTGTGTGAAAGGGAAAGAAAAGAAGGATGTGAGAAAGAGGGATGTTTATGCGCTTTCTAGAGCTTCTACTCAGCCTGGTATGATTCCAAGCAGACATTTACTGTGTTACACAGATGCTATATCAGGTTCTGGAAGAAGTTTTCCTCCATAAAGATAACTTGCATCCTAATTGTGTTACCATGTCACTTAAATAGCTTCTATCAGGGTCATTTCTGCCAGTAACCCTCATAAGGAATCAAGGACTCTCTGATGTCAGTAAAGGCAAGATGTCAAGGAAGCTGCACCAACTTTCTTATAAGGACGGGAAGAGAATATATATCTCTGCTTACCCAAAGACAAATATTTGAACTTCTTTTTCTGTTTTCTCATCAGTGGTAGAATGCTGTGATATTTCCCTTCTCTTTCTCTTTTGGCCACACCAGACAGGAGAAGGGAATTTAAGGAAATGTGGAGCATAGTAGTTACAGGGAAGATGGAAAAAGACATGTGTTGTTTGAGTTTGTTTCAACATTGATGAGGTGTGTTGGGCAGTATGAAGAGGGAGAAGAGAGTGAGAGCAAGAAGGAACTGTAGGGAACACAAATAGGACAGAGGACAGGGAGAAAAAGAAGACATGCGTGAGATTAAAAGAAACTGGCCGGGCACCGTGGCTCATGCCTGTAACCCCAGCACTTTGGGAGGCTGAGGTGGGCGGATCATGAGGTCAGGAGATTGAGACCATCCTGGCTAACATGGTGAAACCCCGTCTCTACTAAAAATAGAAAAAATTAGCAGAGCATGGTGGCGGGCGCCTGTAGTCCCAGCTACTCGGGAGGCTGAGGCAGGAGAATGGCCTGAACCCAGGAGGCGGAGCTTGCAGTGAGCGGAGATTGTGCCACTGCACTCCAGCCTGGGCAACAGAGCGAGACTCCGTCTCAAAAAAAAAAAAAAAAAAAAAAAAAAAATAGAAAAGTCCCTATAGGCAAGGTTAGCATAAGGCAAAATTGTGAAGTACTTAGTGTGTATCGTCCGGAACAGGTCTTTTTTGCTCTGCAATCCTTCACATGCTACAGAAACATTGCAGTCTCTTTTATCAGGATCTAGTCTATGATTTGTTATGATCTGTCACTTTGAGATAAACATGATTGGTAAGTGTTAAAGTGTTACTCTCCCCTGTTTTTCATTTCTTTTATTTTGTTTTGCCATTTTTTTAGGGGGAGGCAGATGAATACATTTTGTGTTAAAATTTCATGCATTGATACTATCGGGGAAGTATAGACTTCTAAGAGAATATCTGATTGAGACAGAAAATTATGTAATAGTTCAGAACATGAATTTTGAATTTGCCTTTGGGTAAGCTGATTTCCCTGAGGCTGTTTTTTTAACGTGGAAAATCAGAGTAATAATAATTGCTATCTCGTAAATATATTTTTTAAATTTCTTTTTAATTTTTGTCCTTTTTTAAGTAGAGACGGGTTTTCACCATGTTGGCCAGGCTGGTCTCAAACTCCTGACCTCAAGTGATCTGCCCGCCTCGGCCTCCCAAAGTGCTGGGATTACAGGCGTGAGCCACCATGCCCAGCCTATTTTTAAAATTTCATAAAATTTTTTACACTAGAAATTGTTCACTATGTTGTACTATTGTCGTTATTATTTTTCAACTCATTTTGGCTATGAGCACTAAACTCTAACCTGAATATCATAGTTTCCTAGTTTCTGAGGCAATTTGGACTAAGGCAGTTTCAGAACTAACACAAGAGAATCTGGAATTGTCTTTATAAGACTGATGTCCCTGTGTCTGAAGGGAGGCCACGGAAGCCCAGCCATTCCCTGACATGCGCTCCAGTTTCACTCTTAGAGAGTAAGTAGGAGTGGGCGGGCTTTGTCCCCAGTCCTGCCACCCAGCCTCCTTTTCCCTGGGGTTTCCTATGGAAGGAGCTGCGTGTGTAAAGAGCAACACTCAGCGACACATCAAACCCAGTGTCTCTCTGGCTGGACCCGTCCTCAGCAGAGCCCCTAGAGCGCTTCTGGTTCCAGCTGCATTTGAAAACTGGCTTTTGGCCGGGCGCGGTGGCTCACGCCTGTCATCCCAGCACTCTGGGAGGCCGAGGCGGGTGGATCACGAGGTTTGGAGTTCGAGACCAGCCTGGCTAATATGGTGAAACCCCGTCTCTACTAAAGATACAAAAAATTAGCCGGGCGTGGTGTCCGGTGCCTGTAGTCCCAGCTACTCGGGAGGCTGAGGCAGGAGAATCACTTGAACCTGGGAGGCGGAGGTTGTAGTGAGCCGAGATCGAGCCACTGCACTCCAGCCTGGCAACAGAGCGAGACTCTGTCTCAAAAAAAAAAAATAAATAAAAATAAATAAATAATAAAACTGGCTTTTTCCAGGAGGCCTGCGTGAGGACTCTTGCTTCCTCTTCACTCTCTTACATCTAAGATGCTGGACTGAGGAGGAGGCTGCGGCCTGATTTGCCCTCCCAGCCTTAGCTGAGAAGCTGGAAAGAGTGGAGGGAGATGAGGATTTCCAGCACAGCCTCCACTTGGCAGTCCACCTTTAGAGGCCAGGCCAGGCTACAGCAGGGAGTCTGAGGACCAACGGGACTCAGGGCAGGGCCTGGGTTCCCCGGTAAGACCAGGTTGGGCCATGTACTGGCAAATGTGGTCCAACGACTGACCTAATGGAAAAATAATTTCTGTAGGCAAAAGGTCTGGCCAGGGTATAAGGAGGGACAAAAGGAAGCGGTAGGAACATGGGGAGGAAGTTCTCTCCTTATAAAAATTGTATAAGATTTGAACTGTTCTATCTCAACATGTTTTTGAATGTGTATCATTGAAAAACAATGGAGTCGGGTGTGGATGCTAAAATTATTTTAGATAGTTCTTTCACTGTGGCCCCCATTGCCCCGAGAAAATGTTCCCTGAGTCCCATCAATTCTAAAAAGCACTAAACATTTTGTTTAAAAAATAGATCTGGCCGGTGTGGTGGCTCAGGCCTGTAATCCCAGCACTCTGGGAGGCCAAGACGGGTGGATCACCTGAGGTCAGGAGTTTGTGACCAGCCTGGACAACATGGTGAAACCCCGTTTCTACCAAAAAATACAAAAACTTAGCTGGGTGTGGTGGCGGGCAACTGTAATCCCAGCTACTCAGGAGGCTGAGGCAGGAGGGCTGCTTGAACCCAGGAGGAGGGGGATGCAGTGAGCTGAGATCGTGCCACTGCACTCCAGTCTGGGTGACAGAGCAAGACTCCATCTCAAAAATAAATAAATAAATAAATAAAAATAAATCGATCTGAAAAAAAAATTAAGGAAATGATGACTAGAAACTTCACAAGTGAGAAGTTATTTGTCCAGGAGAATCGGTGACTTACTGTATTTCTTTTAGTTAGATTGTATCAAGGTATGATTACAAAAATCAATAACAATTTTATAGAAAATAAACAGAGAAGCAACAAGCTAAACCTATTGAGAGAACATAACTTGACTGTCATTTTATGTATATAATACAGTATTATTTATAAAACTGTAATAGATAAGAGTCAGGTATACAGTATACATTTCAAAGTATTACCACAGTATTTACAGTTATCTATAATTGTAGAGTTGTTAACATGTACTTTTATCTGGATTTCTTACCTTAACAAAATACGGTCACTCTATCAATCTCAGAGAAATGTCTGTGCAATTAGTATTTTGGTGTTAACTTTGAGTCTTTATAAGGTCATATACTCATTTTTCAAAACGAAAAGTATTTCCACTGTAGAAAGATGTCTGTTGAGAAAATAAATCTCCCTTCAGCACAATTTTAATTTCAAAATGCTGCAATACCCAGACCACAATCCTAGCTAGCATTAAGAAAAATCACATCGTACAAGGAATTATCACTAACAAAGGAATAAGGATTTTGAAGGCCGTTCTCAAGGAAAGAGCCGCATTGTTGAGTAGGAGTAATCTCAGGGGATGGCTGATATCAAAGGAACGGTGGAGTCTTTCTGCTTCCAGTACAGGATGGAGCACAAAGCAAGATTGATTGTCATGTTTTACCTGCAATCAGGGTGAGGGAAAAAACGAAAGGGCTTTTCAAGAGTTGAAGGAAAAGGCTTTAAGGCAGAACAAGTGGAGATTAGAGCTTTTGTTTCACAGTGATGTTTGCTTTCATTTATACACATTCCTGATTTATACTTAATAACATGAAAGTGGCTAATTTTCCTATTCGTAAAAAATATTGCTAAGTGTGCAAATATGAATTACTCACTGCTTCTCTTTAAATGTACTCAGTTAACAGGTCAGGTTTTCTTTTTTAATTTTTTTTTTTTGAGACCAGAGTCTCACTCTGTACCCCAGGCTGAAGTGCAGTGGCGCGATCTTGGCTCACTGCAAACTCCGCCTCCCAGGTTCAAGTGATTCTTCTGCCTCAGCCTCCTAAGTAGCTGGGATTACAGGCATGTGCCCCTACGCCCAGCTAATTTTTGAATTTTTAGTAGAGACGGGGTTTCACCATGTTGGCTAGGCTGGTCTTGATCCCTTGACCTCGTGATCCGCCTGCCTCGGCCTCCAAAAGTGCTGGGATTACAGGCGTGAACCACTGTGCCTGGCCTTAATTCTTTTTTTTTTTTTAATTAGCAAACGAAACAATCAACAAGGTGAAGAGACAGCCCACAGAACGGGAGAAAATATTTGCAGTTTATCGAACTGACAAGTGATTAGTAACCAGAATATACAAGGAGTCCAAACAACTCAAAAACAAAAAAACAAATAATCTGATTTTAAAATAGGCAAAAGATCTGAACAGACATTTCTCAAAAGAAGAGATACAAATGGCCAACAGGTATTAAAAAAAAGTTCAACATCACTAATCATCAGAGAAATTCAAATCAAAATAATCATGAGCTATCATCTCATCGCACTTAAAATGGCTTTTATCAAAAAGACAGGCAATAAGGGATGCTGGCAAGGATGTGGAGAAAGGGGAACCATTGTACACTGTTGGTGGGAATTAAATTAGTACAACCACTATGGAGAACGGTTTGGAGGTTCCTCAAAAAACTAAAAATAGACCTACCATATGATCCAGCAATCCCACCGGGTATATACACAAAAGAAAAGCAATCAGTCTATTGAAGAGGTGTCTGCATTTCCATGTTTATTGCAGCACTGTTCACAATAGCCAAGATGTGGAATCAATCTAAGTGTCCATCAGCAGACGAATGGGTAAATGAAATGTGGTACATATATAGAGAGAATGGAATATTCTTCAGCCATAAAAAGAATGAAATCATGTCATTTACAACAACGTGAATGGAACTGGAGGATATTATGTGAAGTGATGAAATAAGCCAGGCACAGAAGGACAAATATTGCATGTTCCCACTCACGTTTGGGAAGTAAAACAATGATCTTACGGAAATAGAGAGTAGAATTGTGGTTATCAGAGTCTGGAAGGGTAGTGGTGGGGGAGATGAAGAAAGAATTGTTAACAGGTACAAAAATACATTTAGATAGAAGGAATAAGATGTAATGTTCAGTAGCTCAATAGGGTAAACATAGTTAACAGTAATTTATTGTGTATTTCAAAATAACTAGAAGATGGGAATTGGAATGTTTCTGACACAAAGAAATGATAAATGCTTGAGGTGATGGGCATCCCATTACCCTGATTTGATCATTACGTGTTGTATGTGTTGTATGCTTATATCAAAATTTCACATGTACCCCAAAATATGGACGACTATGATGTATTCAAAAACTAAAAATAAAAAAATTATGAATACGAGCAACTAGCATCTAGGCAACTGGGTCTGCTCTGTTTAATGATTTCAATAATTCAACAAATATTTATTGACTACCACTCATGTATTAGACACTAAGATATTTGATAATGATACAATGGTGAATCAACAGATAAATGATTTATCCTGATGCTTATACATTAGTAAGGAAGATTAAAAAAACTCGTAATCAAGTTAAGTGTGACAGGCATCATGTGCTTATTGGAACATGTAGAAGGGGTTTCTGTGTCCCTGCAATCAGGACAGGTCTTTCTGAGTCTGAAGTATGAATCAGAGTTAGGTAAAGCAGAGAGGGAAGGCAGTTTAGTTTCCTTGGTACAAGACAGTGTATTAAACACTGCAGTAGAGAGAATTGTAAATGATAATTCTGCACTTACAGAATTTGCAATTGAGTAAATATGAGAATATTATCTAAATGTACTGAATGCTCATTGTGTGCTAGGTGTTATTAAATACTTTACTTGTATTGATTCCTTTAATCCTCACAACAACTCTATGAAGGAGTTACTGTTATTGACCATCTAAAGGTGAGGAAACAGAGGAACAGAAATAGGAAGTAGCTTGCACAGATCTTCCTGATCTCCCTCATAGCCAATGACAGGCCTAACATAACAAATACAATGACAGGCCTAACATACAAATACTTGGCGTCTGGGTCCGAAGCATGAACTTTTTTTTTTTTTTTTTTTTTTTTTTTTTTTTGAGACGAAGTCTTGCTCTCTCACCCAGGATGGAGTGCAGTGGCACGATCTCAGCTTACTGCAACCTCCACCTCCCAGGTTCAAGCAATTCCCTGCCGCAGCCTCCCAAGTAGCTGGGATTACAGGTGCCCGCCACCACACCCGGCTAATTTTTGGATTTTTAGTAGAGACGGGGTTTCACCACGTTGGCCAGGCTGGTCACGAACTCCTGACCTAATGATCCACCTGCCTCGGCCTCCTAAAGTGCTGGGATTACAGGCGTGAGCCACCGCACCCGGCCTCAAAAACCTGCACTCTTAAGAAGCATTTTAGTCTAAGAAAAGATTGACATATATAATTGCAGATTTACAAATAACTGCAATGCAGTAAATTACAGTTACTATAAGAGCATCCTTATGTCGGAGCTCAGTGGAATGCCTAGGGCTTGGTGTGCCTTAGCTTTTTAAGGAAAATTTGTATTATTTTAATTATTTTTATGTACAGAAAACTCAACAGTGTACATTTAACCAAGTTTAGTGGGAATTTCTTTAGCCTTTGCCTTTTTGAGCTTTGGTGCAGGTCTTCCTGTAGACTAGACATCCCAGTCTTGCCTTCCCCTTGATAATGCAGTAAGGGACCCCCATTTTACGACACAGGGCAGGCAGAAAGGTAACCAGCTCGATGGGATCCACGTCGTGTGCAATCACCACCAGCTGAGCTTTCATGTTCTCCACCAAGGTGGTGACGGTGTTAACTCCGGCTGGAAGGACAGGTGGTCTCTTAGTGGGGACGTCCCCTTTGCCGGCAGCTTTCTTCTCAGCTGGGGCCAACAGCCTCTGCCCCTTCTCTTGCTTTGTCTTTAGTCTGTACTTGTGGGCCAGCTTAAGCAGCTGAGTAGCTGTTTGGCAGTCCAGGGCCTGGGCGAACTGGTCAATCGCAGGAGGCACTTTCAGCCGCTTACAGAGGATGGCTCTCTGCCGCTGCAACCTGATATAGCAGGGCCGTTTCACAAGGTGGGCGAGGTCTCTTTTGGGTTGGATGTCCTGTCCAATGCCAAAATTCTTAGGCCTTTTCTCAAACAGGGGATTCACCACTTTCTTGGCCTCCTGCTTCTTCATGACCGCAGGGGCCGGAGCCACCTTCTTCCCCTTGGCCTTCTTTCCTTTCGGCATCTTGAGCGGCGGAAAGAGAGAGACGCCCTTTTTCTTTCTTTCTAGACTCTCGCTCCCATGGACTTTTGGTAGGTGCACTAGATAGCACACACGGTTTTCCCTTGAAGCAAGGCATTTCTGTCTGGTTGAAAGCACACTCACGGCCTCTAAATGCTTGTCATGCAGTCTGCAAACAAGATGTTTAAAGGAAGTTGAAAACTCATGTTTCTCCTTGTGGAAGTTCATCCCTCTTTCTGCACAAGGTGGACTACAAGAGGTCCTTCTGGCTGGACCAAACTTATTTTCAGGAAGCAGCTCTGAATCTGTAGAAAAGCTTGAACATTACTAGTTCTCAGAGTGATGCTGCATAATACAAGAAGAGGCTACCTTCATTTGATGTTCCTATGATTACTGTATGTCCGCCTCTACCGTGATACCGACTTGCTAAGGATTGCTAACATTTAGGCATACTTGCATCGTAACAACTTAACAGTTTAACTTTGACTACAAAGGCCAGTGAAGGGATCGTCTACTATAATTTTCAATTACGTTGAAATGTTTCCACAATAACTATCTTTAAACACTTTATGTGTCTAGAAATGCAGGTTACTTGGTGAAATCTAATCTCGATGGAAAGCTTTGATGCTCTGTATCAAATGAAAACCAATTTAAGCCATCTATGCTGCACATTAATATTAAGCAATTATATTAACTGAAAGCACTGTGAATACATGAATTGCTTTCATTAAAAAAAGATTTCCTTAATTACCTTCTAAGCAAATATTCTCCACTAAACTTTTTAAGTATTTGCAATACTCAAATAAAATAGGTAATGGAGATGTCAATTTACATGAAATACATATTTCTAAAAATCTAACTTGCATTGCAAGTTTAAAATATGTTTACAAAATCCAGAATTAAATATAATTTTATAAGGCTATTTTTATTTGGATACTGTTATGTTATTCGGAGAAAACAGTATTTCTTGTTTTTCATCCTTTACTAGCTCAAGGCTTGTCAGGATGCCACTCATATCATATTGTGATGTTATGATGTATGCCCATACCACTTTCTGTCTCAAGGAAAAGGTCTGTCTCCTCTTATCCACATTGGCCGCTGTGCCCATCTCTCTGGTTTCCATCTTGCTGGCACTAAGGTAGCCCCTCATGTTCACAGAGAAGAAAGGCTGAGGAGGTACATGGGTTTTTTGTGACCGCAAGCTTTTCAGTGCTTGTGTGACTCTAACTTCTGTGAAATTTCTTGATTTTCCTCAAGTAGGACTTCAGGGATTCATGGAATATAAAAGATGGAGCTAAAACAGACTATTTCCCACATGTTCTTAGGCTTAAATGTTGAAGTGTAAATGTTTAAGTTGTATTTATTTATTTAGGACAAATTATAATTGCATGTAATTGTGGGGTGCACAATGATGTTGTGATATATGCCCACAGTTTAGAATGATTGAATCAAGCCAATGACATATCCATCTTTTTTTTTTTTTGACAGAGTCTTGCTCTGTTGCCCAGGCTGGGGTGCAGTGGCAGGATCTCAGCTCACTGCAACCTCCACTTCCTGGGTTCAAGTGATTCTCCTGCCTCAGCCTCCCAAGTAGCTGGGACTACAGGTGCACACCACCATGCCCAGATAATTTTTTTTTTTGTATTTTTTAATAGAGATGGGGTTTCACCATGTTTGCCAGGATGGTCTTGATCTCTTGACCTTGTGAGCTGGCTGCCTCAGCCTCCCAAAGTGCTGGGATTACAGGCGTGAGCCACTGTGCCCGGCTCCCCATTTTAAATATATATCATTTATTCCTCCTGTTTAAAGCTTAATACCCTTTGACCGACACCTCTCATTTTCCCTACCCTCCAGCCTCTGGTAACCACCGTTCTACCCTCTGCTTCTGTGCATTTGACTTTTTAAAATTCCACATGAGTGAGATCACAGGGTATTTGTCTCTGTGCCTCACTTATTTCACTTAACATAGTGTCCTCCAGGTTCATCCATGTTGTAAATGAAATAATTTCTTTCTTTTTCTTTTTTTCTTTCTTTTTTTTTTAAGGCTGAAGAACATTCCATTGTGTGTATATATCTCATTTTCTTTTTCCATTTATCCATTGATTGACACTTAGATTGATTCCATGACTTGGCTATTGTAAACAATGCTGCAACAAACATGGAAGTGCTGATATCTCTTAGACATATTAATTTCAAGTCCTAAGGGTATATAGTTAGAATAGGGTTGCTGGAACATATGGTAATCCTATTTTTAGTTTTCTAAGGGAACTCCACACTGTTTTCTGTAATGGCTGTGCTAATTTATATTCCCACCAGTGTACAGTGTTCCCTTTTCTTCACATCCTCACCATCACGGTTGTTATCTTTCCTCTTTTTGTTGCTAGCTCTTCTGATAGATGATATATCATAGTTTTAATTTCTATTTCCCTAATGATTAGTGATATTGAGCATTATATATATATATATATATATATATATATATATATATGTATATATGTTGGCCATTTGCATGTCTTATTTTGAAAAATATTTATTCAGTTTCTTTGCCCATTTTTAAATTGGATTTTTTTTTTTTGCTATTAACTTTTTTGAGCTCCTTATACATTTGGGGTATTAGTTCCTTATATAATGTATTGCTTGTAAATTTTTTTCTGATCTGCAGATTGTCTCTTCACTTGTAGTTGTTTTCTTTGTTGTGCAAATATTTTTTAGTTAACTGTAATCTTACTTGTCTATTTTTGTTTTTGTTATTTGATCTTTTGGAGGTCAAATAAAAAAAAAAAAAAAAAAACATTGCCCAGACCAGTGTTGTGTAGTTTTCTCCTCTGTGTTTTCCTAGTACTTTTTATAATTTCAGGTTTTACATTTAAATCTTTAATTCATTTTGGGTTTATTTTTGTATACTCTGTGAGATAGGGTGGGACTAATATTATTCGTCTGCATGTGAATATCTCATTTTCTCATTGTCCTTTATGGGAGAGATTGTTCTTTACGCATTGTGTGTGTTCTTGGCATTTTTATCAAAGTCAATTGACGAAGGGCATCGGTTCATTTTTGTGCTCTCTATTCTGTTCCATTGGTCAGTGTTTCTGTTTATACTAGTGTCATGCTGTTTTAATTACTATGGCTTTGTAATATAGTTTGAAGTCAGGTAGTGTAAGACCTCTAGCTTTGTTCATTTTGTTCAAGACTGCCTTGGCTAGTCAGGCTTTTTTGTGTGTGTTTCTGTATGAATTTTACGATTTTTTTTTCTATTTCCATTTGCATGAAATATCTTTTTCTGTTACTTCACTTTTAGTCTATTTGAATCTTTAATAGTGAGGTAAGTCTCTTGTAGGTAGCATATAGTTGGGTTTTGTTTTTATACATCCTATTTCTTTGTCAAGCTTCTCATTTTGTATTATTTTTCATATTTTATTTAATCTTCTATCCTTATATTCTTATAGCTGACTGAACTTCTTTAAGAGAACTATATTAATTTTTTGTTAGTTATTTCATAGCTCTCCATTTCTTTAGGGCCTATTGTTGAAGCTTTATTTGTTTCTTCTGGAGATGTCATTATTCTGATTCTTCATAATCTTTGTGTCCTTACATTGGTGCTTGTGCATTTGAAGAAATGGTCACCTCTTCCGTCCTTTACAGGTATTCTTTGGCAAAGTTATACTCTCACTGAAGTCTAGCCTGTGATTCTAGGTCGGCTACCTGGTAATGGCGCTAAGCAGGTAGAGCTTGGCGTTAGACTCTCTAGCTTGCTGAGCCTCTGCCTTTGCTTTGAGATCAGATGGATCTGAGCTCTTCTATTTGGTGAGACCACTGGCTGGGTTCTGCAATCAGGCAGAGATGGTAGCTGGGTCCTCTGATTGGATGAAGACACAATGTGTATTCCCTAGTTAAATGGTACTGCTGTTTGACTTTTGGAATTTGGGTAGGGCTGCAGATTGGGTCCTAAGCTTAGGCTGAGTCACTGATTGGGAGAGTCAGGATCAGCTGCTAAGTTTGGCAGAAATGCACAATATTGAGGTTTACTTCCCTGCCTGGATGTAGCTTTGGTGTGGGATTTGAGGTTGAGGTGAGCTGCTATTTGAACTCCCAGACTGGGGTGGTCTAGCCCCTGTATGTAGCCAAGATATGCCATGGTGGGTGTCTCACTCCATGAGCAGGGTCTTCTTGGGTCTGGTTCTTGGGATGGACTTTTAGGTTGAGCCAAACTCCTCTTAAATGCCCAGGTGGTGCAAGTATAGTCCCTGTGCTTTGCCAAAATACTCTGTGGTAGGTATCTCTCTTCTCAGCAGGAGGAAGTTGGGGGAAGCCTGAAGCTGAGCATGGAGGCTGAGCATCTAGGGATTTAAGCTAGATTGATCTTTCCACTGTGCTTCTGGGGTAACCAGCTTAGCTTTGCAGGTGGGCTATGGTACTCCCACCTATGTGGTGCTGTTTAAGAGGCTACTACTGGTACCTCTCATCAGGTGCCTCTGCTGACAGTAATGCAGAGCTACCACCAAGATACAAGCCCTGTCTACTGTGAGTAACATCTCCTTTCTTTGCTTGTATTTGACCCCAGGTGACCTAGTCATGCCATGATCCCATGTTTCCCATGAGGTGAGAACAGATTGGGCTTCCTGAGAGGCATCTTGGAGTGCTAGTTAAGCTGGATGGCCACCTTATGTTTTATTTTTCCACTTTAGAAACTGTGGACCAGGGGAATCCTCTCTATGTGGCACTGTGCCCATTGGGGAGGGGGAAGGGGTAGCACAGTCAGAGTGACACTGTTGTTACCTGTCTGATGTAGTTTTTATGTGGTTCTGTCTCAGGTTTATTTACAATTTTGGAATTTTTGCCAAGATGGTCTTGTATAGAAATAGTTGCTAGTTGACCTTTTTTTTGGAAGGGAAGAGCTGAGATGTCCTATTCTGCCATCTTGCTGATATCATTCCCTTTGTTTCAAAATTTTTAATATAAAGCTATTCCCTAGGTTAATTGCTTCTAAATGTGAAGGTTGTATTATATCAAAAGATATAAATTTGGAGTCACATCAAAAGAAAGAAGAAGAGTGAGAAAAACTACTTTAAATCAATTATGAGGTCAAATATGTGCTCCAAAATATTTTTTTTCTTTTGCAATGTAAGGATCAATTCAGAAAAAAGAAAATGTTTGCAGAGGCCTTTCTTAAATGATATTTTTTCTTAATTTTTATCAACGATTGCTGCTTGTGTTTAGTTTTATTTTAAACAGCTTTATTGAACTATGATCGACATACACTAAACTTAAACATTTGACAAATTTTGACATATATATATATATATACATATATATAAAACATCACTATAGTAAAAAAATGAGAATATCCATTTCCCAAAAGTTTTCTCTTGCCCCTGGTAGTCTCTTGCACCTGACCTTTCCTGCCACCTCTCCCTTCCAAAAACAGTATATACTCCATTTTTTTCTGGCTTCTTTTATTTATGTCATTCAGAATGAATATTTTGAGATTTATCCAAGTTGTAGCATGTTATTAATAGTTTATTGTTTTTGGTGTTGTGTGGTATTTCATTGAATGGTTAGACCATTGATGGATATTTGGGTTGTTTTCAGTTTTTGGCTATTACACATAAGGCTGCTATGAATGTTTATATACAAGCTTTTATGTGGACAGGGATTTTAATATTTATTGGGTAATACTTAGAAATGGAACAGCTGGTAGGTATATGGTAGGTTTACATCGAACTTAAAAAGCTGTCAAAATGTTTTCCAAAGTGGCAGTGCCACCTCACATTCCCATCAGCAGTATATGAGAATGTATATTACACCACATCCTCTCCAGCACTTGTATGGTCAGTTTAAAAAACACTTGTATAGTCTAATAGGTGCATGGTGGTAGTTCATTGTGGTTTTAATTTGCACTTCTTTTGTGACCAAAGATGTATAGCATTGTTTGTCATTGATAGATCTTCTGTGGTAAAGTCCCTATTCACAGCTTTGGACCATGATTTCAATTGGGTTTTTTGTTTTTTTTCATATTATTGAAATTTAGGAGCCATTCATATATTTTGGGTCCATCTCCTATATCAGATATATAATTTTCAAATTTTTTTCAGTCTGTGGTTTATATTTTAATTTTATTTATTTAATTAATTTTTGGTGGGGGGAGACAGGGTCTTGCTTTGTCACCCAGGCAGGAGTGCAGTGGTGTGATCACAACTCACCGAAGCCTCAACCTCCCAGGCTCAGGTGATCCTCCCACCTCAGCCTCCCGAGTAACTGGGACCTATGCCTGCATGGCTAATGTTATTATTTTTTGTAGAGACAGGGTCTCACTATGTTGCTCAGGTTGGTCTTCAACACTTGGGCTCAAATGAGTCTCCTACCACGGCCTCCCAAAGTGCTGGGATTACAAATTTGAGCCACTGTGCCTGGCCTTAATTTTCTTAATAATTTTTATTTTTATGTTTTTGTTTGAGATGGGGTCTCACTCTGTCGCCCAGGCTGGAGTGCAGTGGTGTGATCTCAGCTCACTGCAAGCTCCGCCTCCCGGGTTCAGGCCATTCTCCTGCCTCAGCCTAGCTGGGACTCAGGTGCCCGCCACTATGCTTGGCTAATTTTGTTTTTGTATTTTTAGTAGAGACGGGGTTTCACTGTGTTAGCCAGGATGGTCTCGATCTCCTGACCTCGTGATCCGCCCGTCTTGGCCTCCCAAAGTGCTGAGATTACAGGTGTGAACCACCGTGCCCGGCTGAAGAGCAGGAGTTTTATGTTTTGTTAAAGTACAATTTATTACTACTTTCTTTTATGGCTCATCATTTTGTCATCTGTAAGATATTGTTACCTTATCTAAGATCACCGAGGTTTTTTTTTTCTTTTGTTTTTCTGGAATTTTTAAGGGATTTGGCTTAGTCTCCTGGAGATGGAGTGAGAACAAAGATCCTAGAGAAATAGTGATGGAGTTATATTTGGGTGAGGCTGCAAAGAAGATTGGTGTGGGGTTCTGGAAAGAGCAGGGGTCTTTTTCAAAATGATCATAAGCAGTACTCTGGGGATGTGTGAAAAACTCAGAAAGAATTCCTTTGACTACTTGGTGCTGTTTAAGAGGCTACTACTGGCCGGGCCCAGTGGCTCATGCCTGTAATCCTAGCACTTTGCGGGGCTGAGGCGTGCAGATCACCTGAGGTCAGGAGTACAAGATCATCCTGGCCAACATGGTGAAACCCTGTCTCTACTAAAAATACAAAAAAATTACCTGGGCATGGTGGCGCACACCTGTAATTTCAGCTACTCGGAGGCTGAGACAAGATAAATTACTTGAACCCGGGAGGCAGAGGTTGCAGTGAGCTGAGATCGTGACACTGCCCTCCATCCTGGAGATCGAGACTCTGCCTTTAAAAAAAAAAAAAAAAAAAAAAGTGGCTACTCCCAAGGCCTAGCCATTTTCGGTTCCCAAAGATCTATGGAAATGGCAGAACTGGCAACCTTTAAGGAATCACAAAGGCTAAGAAAACAAACATCTCAGTCTTAGTTACTTAACTAGCACGAACTCAGATCTGAGGATGAGGGGCCTCCCTGATGGGCAGGAACTTGGTTTGATCATAGAGTGCCAAGAATGAGCTAGAATATCCTGCTAGCTTTGCAATACGCAAACTTGGTGCCAGGTTAATGCAGAATTAATTTAAAGAAAATAACAAAATGCAATATCTTTCATACCTCGTAGTTACAATATTAAAACTAATACACCACATACTATATAGATTAATTCCAAGTTGCATAATTTCTTTATACTGTTCTTCTCAGAATGGTAGTCTAATCTAGGTCTATAATTCGTGCTGACCCACGGCAGTGACCTGAAAGAGTTGGCACTTTCAGATTTTGAATATGTTGTCTCAGAGCATTTTCTCTCCACCTTTGCTAAGGACACGTCTCCCCTCAGCTTTCCGTGTCCGTCCCTGTTTCAGGCAAGGTGAGTTAGGCTCACAGTGAGCTCCGCCAGCTGTGGCTGTGTGTATTTGTGTGTCTGTGTGTTGTAGTGGTAACAGCATCAGCAGTGTTTGTTGCAGATCAGCTAACTCTGGTAAGAAGTTTCAAAGCTGGTTGTTATTTACTTTTTCGCTTTTTTTTTTGTTCCACCTGATAATTTTCCAAGTTAATTATTTATGCTGCAGAAAAATTATAATGCGTTATGAAAGCAATTCTGTGCTGTATCAGCTTTCCATTTTCTCTTTTGATCAAATATCACTATATTTCATACATATTTTTTCACAATTCGCAGTTTAGGATTGCAGCCACTTCTCGGTTTCATGATGGATGGAAGTTTAGTTTCTAGTTTTTGTATGTTTAAATAGGTCTCCATAGGTTTTAAGAATATGTCTGATACTATTTTAACAAATCTTTAGCCTCTGGAGTATGTATTCTGTGTGTGTGCCAATACTACTAAGAACTCAGTTTCTCTTTAAAACATATTTTTATGCCCTCCATCCCTGCTCCACCCCATCATTTTTCCTGGGAGCAGCCAAAGCCATAGACAGAGTAGGAATTTAAATGTAATTTACAAATGCTGTCCTTCTCATTCCTCCTCCTGTGGTGATTTGTCCCAGGCCTCCTCTCTTCCTCTTCTAAGTCTGAATCAATATCAGTTAACACTGTCTCGCCAACACTCCTATGAGCTCCACCTCACAGATTAGCAGAGCCTTTTCTCATTTCAGAGGTAACAGTTGAATGTGAATGAGTTGAATCAGGCTGATATAGGTTTCTACTGGATTTTCACTTTTCCACCTATAAAAATGAGAAAAATGAGAGACAGCTGAAAAAGGACCAAAGACTGCCTCTGAGGCTGTATGAGCAAGCTGCTTATCCCTGAGGCTGACACTGTTTCACTGACTTCAATAAGATCAAAGATGGAGTTGGATTTGAACCTTGGTCTCTCTTATTTCGAGTACATTACATTAGATTTTGTATTTACTGTTTCCTTCTGTTACTCTAATGGAATATGATACGGTCATAGACTATATTAATTAAGACATACTTCTCAGGTATAAGTGGGTATAGTATAATAATGCTACTGCTTTTCAGTAAGTGGATCAATTTGACACGGGAATTCACAATTTGGCCATTTTATAAACAGAAATTATAAGGGACTATCTTGCAGAAAATTTTGTCCAAAATTTTGATTAAAACAGGATAACAAAATAAATTTATACAAATAAAACTTAGGAATAAAGAAGGTGACACGTGACCAAACACTGCATCAAATTTCTGTTAGCACCTTTAACACATATATCCCGACTTCTAATTTTTTCCAAAAACCCACATATTTTTATTTATTTATATATTTTTTGAGATGGAGTCTCGCTCTATCACCCAGGCTGGAGTGCAGTGGCATGATCTCAGCTCACTGCAAGCTCTGCCTCCCAGGTTCACGCCATTCTCCTGCCTCAGTCTCCCGTGTAGCTGGGACTACAGGTGCCCGCCACCACGCCCGGCTGATTTTTTGTATTTTCAGTAGAGACGGGGTTTCACCATGTTAGCCAGGATGGTCTCGATCTCCTGACCTCGTGATCAGCCTGCCTAGGCCTCCCAAAGTGCTGGGATTACAGGCATGAGCCACCGCACCTGGCGTCCAATTTTTTTATGAAAGGTGATTTTCATATACAGTCACAATACTTGGGCATTTGTATGATTATTCAACAACTTGCAAATGATGCTGTCAATAATTTTCAAGAAGAAACAATGCTCTTCCCTAATGGAAGAGTTGATCTGGTATATTCTAATGATCTCACTCGGAACAGTGAAATACTTAGGAGAGATCTTCTTCTTGGACTAAATGTAAAGACTTTTAAAAACTCCAGATTATACTGGTTATGACTTTTTAATAAATATGACTTTATTAGATACATTTTGAAGGGACTTGTGTCTTATAGAAGTATAATAAAAGAGCAGTCTATCATGCGTTTTAAACCAGTTACTTTGAATATCAGCCTATGGCCTTTAAAGCTCTGAACAGTTAGAACTGAGCTGTATTTCTGTAATTGAAGGACTGTCCACATGGCCTAGAGCACATTCAAATGATGCTCCTAAATAAGCTTCCAGTTATCACCGAGGCACATGCAAATGGGCAGAAATTTCACATCCAATCATTGTACAACAGGAGAAAATTCTGCTTGTATAATAGAAATGATAACCTTGAAATACTTGAGCACTCATCTTTGAGGAAAGCAGAAAGACCCGAAACCTATCATGTGACGAGCCCGTGAAGCCTAGAATCACAGGGCAGCATTAATTTCATGGGATCTAGCGAAAGAGGATCTAGATGGTCATTCCAAGTCCTATGTAGCCTGTTTATCATCCCCATTTTACATTTAAATGTATGCAATAGGTGTCTTTACATGAGTAGACTTTAAATATAGGTAATTTATAGGCACAATTCTTTACAAATATTTAAACACAATTTCTAAAATTATTCAAGGTTTTATCCCATTGCACAGTTAGACTCTATTTCAGTTGAAAAATACACGTCAAATTGAAAGGTGTGAAATTATTTTTTTAAGCCGGTACTATAAATTATATGCCAGAAATATATGGTCACTTTCTCTAGTCATAGCAAATGTTCAGGTACCAAGTTAACTTTTTAAAAACTTTTCTAGAAGATCCATGGAAATCAGCTGTCACACTGCAACAGGACTCAGGAGGCCTAATATGTGCATTCCTGATATATTCAGCTGTTTTAATATAAGGTAGAGTAATACAGTAGAAAACAGACTACATATGGAGTCAGAACCATATGCAGCTTTCTTCACTCAGTGTTTTTAAAATGTTTAAAAATGCTTAACTTTTTTTTTTTTTTTTTTTTTTTTGAGACGGAGACTCGCTGTGTTGCCCAGCCTGGAGTGCAGTGGCGCAATCTGGGCTCACTGCAAGCTCCGCCTCCCGGGTTCCCGCCATTCTCCTGCCTCAGCCTCCCGAGCAGCTGGGACTACAGGTGCCCGCCACCACACCCGGCTAATAAAAATGTTTTTAAAAACAAAAGTGAACCACCTTTGTTCACTCATTGTTTTTAAAACTTTAGGTACTATTTAGTGTTTTGGAACTTTACCTGCTTATTATCTGCAACATGAATTTAATAATATCATAAAAACTGCATTTAAAAAGAAGATGCACTGAGGTGATGAGTCATATACAACTGTGGGCAGGCAAGATTTTCTTGTTCCCTGTACCTCGTTAACTCATTAGTGCAGGATACAGATTGGATAACGTCTGCTAGTGAGGAACTCTGTGTTAAAATGCCTTTCCATAGGTGTCACTTTCTCCTGTCCCTGCAGTGCCACCACAAAAGCCCAGCCAGCTGATGGCTTTAGCCAATGTGGCAGCAGGGAGTGTGAGGCTTCTGGCTTTGCTAGGACTCAGGCCAGCTGTCTCCGTCACTGGGCTCAGGGTGCTCCCTTTAGTTACAAAATCAGACCCCGTGTTGTGGAGCCTGTGCATGTTTGCATTGCTCTTTTGAGTTAAAAATCATTTAGACCTAATGAGTTTAGGATAAAGGACTATAAACAGCCTGTCTTATCCAAGTTTTCTGCAATGGAGTCTGCCAGCTCATGCCCAGCTAACGATGTGTCTTTGAAGCCATTAGGTATTTTCTATTATTTTTTTGCACATAAATATGCTTTGTGGACCTTGTAGAAAGAGGTGACTAGAGACTGGAGCAAGATTCAGGTCTTCCTGGATGCCCTGCTAAATGTCATATGATTACATTGGTTAAAGTCCTAATTCTTCATTAATACCAACATATGTGATGGTGGGTTGCTTTCATGTATTTCTGATAGTAATCATTAGTGCTGTTTATTATTAATATGATCATTTTATCCTTGATTTCCTAGTATGCTGAAGAAAAGTATGTTATTCAATCAGCTTTGTGCTAAACTATAGTATATTTGGCCCTTAAAAGTCCTTTGCTTGCTCCCCGAATGTTGAAGTTTCTTACTGTTCCTTCCAGGTCTTCTCTTTTCACTTTCCAGCATAATCTCATCTGCTTTTATGGCATTAATTATCTCTGCATTGATTACTTCTAAATTCATATCTCCATGCTTAATATTTTATTTGAGATTCAGTTCCATATTAATGTGTCTACTGGATTCCCCAGAGGCATCTTAATATGGATAAAAAATTCATTTTTATGGCCAGGCACAGTGGCTCACGCCTGTAATTCCAGAACTTTAGGAGGCCGAGGTGGGCGGATCATGAGGTCAGGAGTTCGAGACCAGCCTGGCCAACATGGCAAAACCCCGTCTGTACTAAAAATACGAAAATTAGCCTGGTGTGGTGGCAGGCTCCTGTAGTCCCAGCTACTTGGGAGGCTGAGGCAGGAGAATCACTTGAACCCGGGAGGCGGAGGTTGCAGTGAGCCAAAACGGTGCCATTGCACTCCAGCCTGGGCAACAGAGTGAGAATCTGTCCCCCGCCCCAAAAAAATCATTTTTATAACCACCTACATTTATTTTACTTCCCGTTTTAATGAACGAAGTCAATAGCATTATCGCTTGCATTTTCATTCGGATCCACTCTGCTCCATTCTGTCCCGTGTCCTCTTGTTCACCTGCAAATCCACGTAGTTGCTGAGTTTCAGCCTATTCCATCTCAGGGCAGAGCCACTGCTTGGACTTCCACGGCTTCACCTCAGACCCTCATCCGATGCTGCCTTGGCTATTCCAGGAAACTGCTCTCTGCTTCTAGTCTTATCACAGCTGGGAGGCAGGTTCTCAGCCATGCTCGCCCCCTACCTGGAAACAGACTCGGGGCTGTTGTGGGGGGCACGGTGAGAGTGAGACCGGCCCTCTGGGTTGTGTGGGATCCGCCCGATACTGCCACAGCTGATGCTGTCTTGAAAGCACCACCTCCCAGCAGGAGCCCAACCAGCACACAAATAGTGCACTAAACAACCAAAGCTAAGGACCCTCACAGAGTCCACTTCACCCTCCTGCCGCCTCCACCAGAGCAGGTGCTGGTATCCATGGCTGGGAGACCCACAGATGTTTCACATCACAGGACTCTGCAGACAACCCTCTTTACCAGCCCATAGCCTGGCAGACTTGCTGGGTGGCTAGACCCAGAAGAGAAAAAACAATCACTGCAGTTCGGCTCTCAAGAAGCCACATCCCTAGGAAAAGGGGGAGAGTACTACATCAAGGGAACACCCATGGGACAAAAGACTCTGAACAACAGCCTTCAGCCCCAGACCTTCCCTCTGACACAGCCTACACAAATGAGAAGGAACCAGAAAACCAACTCTGGTAATATGACAAAACAAGTTTCTTTAACACCCCCCAAAATCACACTAGCTCACCAGCAATGGATCCAAACCAAGAAGAAATCCCTGATTAACCTGAAAAGAATTCAGAAGGTTAGTTATTAAGCTAACCAGGGAGGGCTCCAGAGAAAGGCAAAGCCCAATTTAAGGAAGTAAAAAAAAATGACACAAGAAATGAGGGCAGAAACTTTCAATGAAATAGATAGCATAAATAAAAAAGAATCAAAACTTCAGGAAACAATGGACACACAGAAATGCAAAATGCTCTGGAAAGTCTCAGCAGTAGACTCGAACAAGCAGAAGAAAGAACTTCAGAGCTCAAAGACAAGGTTTTCGAATTAACCCAATGCAACAAAGACAAAGAAAAAAGAATAAGAATATATGAACAAAGCCTCCAAGAAGTCTGGGATTGTGTTAAATGACCAAACCTAAGAAAAATCGGTATTCCAGAGGAAGAAGAGAAAAATAAAAGTTTGGAAAACATATTTGGGGGAATAATCGAGGAATACTTCCCTGACTTTGCTAGAGACCTGGACATCCAAATACAAGAAGCACAAAGAACACCTGGGAAATTCACCACAAAAAGATGATTGCCTAGGCACATGGTCATCAGGTTATCTAACGTTAAGACAAAGGAAAGCATCCTAAGAGCTGTGAGGCAAAACAAACAAACAAACAAAACAAAACAAAACAAAAAACCGGAACCTATAAAGGAAAACTTACCAGATTAACAGCAGATTTCTCAGCAGAAACCCTACAGGCGAGAAAAGATTTGTGGCCCTATCTTCAGCCTCCTTAAACAAAACAATTATTAGCCAAGAATTTTGTATCCAGCAAATCTAAGCTTCATAAATGAAGGAAAGATACAGTCCTTTTCAGACAAACAAATGCTGAGAGAATTTGCCACTACCAAGCCAGCACTACAAGAACTGCTAAAAGGAGCTCTAAATCTTGAAACAAATCCTGGAAACATATCAAAACAGAACCTGTTTAAAGCATAAATCTCACAGGACCTATAAAACAAAAATACAATTAACAAAACAAAACGAAAAACCGAGGTATACAGGCGACAATAACACAACGAATGGAATGATACCTCAAGTCTCAATACTAGCATTGAATGTAAATGGCCTAAATGCTCCACTTCAAAGATACAGAATTGCAGAACGGATAAGCCTTCACCAACCATCTGCTGCCTTCAAGAGACTCACCTAACACATAAGGACTCATAAAATCTCTTGCTAATTTCTCCTCTCCTTTGCTCCCCAATCCTATACCAGAAGGCAAGAATGTTAATCTCTTCCTTAAAATTGCCGCTTGCTTCCCATCTATTCAATAAAGTCCAAATTACCTATCTTACGCGTGGTTTTTAGTTGTCTGTTGCCTACCTAATCCTCTGACCTCATATTCCCAATGTTTATATCATTCACCATGACTTGGAACATTTCATTCCTTATATTATCCCTTCCCTAGACCTTCCCTCTGATTATCTCTTCCATCTGGACCTTTCCCTTCCTCAATGGGCAATTTCCATTCATTATTTAAGGCTCAGCTTAATTTACTCCGTTGTGGAGCTCTTCCTTATCACTCCCTAGTCAGTCGCTCCCTCCCCAGCACTGTCTCTAGGCTTGTATCACAGCACCACACCACCTGCTGACTTGTCAGCCTGGCTCATGATACCTTGCTGCCTTTAATCAAGTCTGGTTCTTCAATTATGATCACAGTGTTTGCTACATAGTAGAAGATAAAGAAATACTTGTCTGTTGGATGAATGGTCAAGTAGCAATGAACTTTGCCTATTCTTTTTCAACATAAGTAACTTACAATACTTCTTTTACTCTCATTGAAGGTATTTAAAATACCTTCACCACAATTTTACTCTCATTGAATGTATTTTAAAATACTTTCAGTTCCTCACCCTTCAACATCCATCTCAGCCCTCAGTTCTACTGCAGATGCAACTATTTTTAAGGCAACTTTTTAGATATATTGTAAATACTGAAAATAAAAAATAATAACTATTTAAAATGAAGATCATTCAGGAAAACTTACTATTTCATCTGCGTTTAGTTCAATATGCCAATTTCATGTGCTGTATTTATAAAATTATTCTTTAATAAGCATCACTAATATATCTATGAGAAGCCATTAATTACTGCCTCTACAAAAGGCTAGTGTCAAAGGTAATGTTATCTCAAAATCTGAGATGTTTAAGTTCCAAACTTTGTCAATTTTTTTTCTGTAATCAAGAATCCACATGTTGGATGTTTTACTATAAAATATTACTGAGTAACATTTAACATGGATTTAAAGCTGGAGCCAATAAATTTATTATGGTGTAAATTAGCTTCTTTATAGAATTTTCTCCAAAGTTGTTCGATAACATGAGAGTTGGAATGAATGGAATGTACTCAATAACTATTTTTAATCTATTTAGTTATGAAGGACCAAATAAATGGGTGGATGGATTTCTAGGCACTGTCTTGGGAGACAAAAGATAAAGAGTAACTAAGCTGAATTTCCTTCCTTTGGCAAAGGCTGTCCCTTAAACAACTGGTGTATTGTCAGAAAGTGATTTAAACTATGTTCATGCAGCAACAAGCATCTGTTTTGTAAATAACCAAAACATTTTGTTCAGGTGGCAAAGTGGTATCTTCAATTTAGAACTGACCAGCCTTTGGTGAAATGCTTCTAATTAATCTAATTGCTTAATTAAATCCATGCTCAAGGGATATTTTTTCAACCAAAGCCTCCTAATTGTTTATCAATGAGTGTGATTCACATTCTGCTTTATCTGTGAGCTCCTTCTTGAGCTCCTTAAAGATAGCCAAAGACAGGGGAAAAGAGGTTTTAGAAGCACTGCCTCACATTGAATGGACCTTAGTCGGTGCGTAGAATAGAAGCTGGCAGGTCACAGTGTTTCTAAGTAGAGCACAGCCAACCTTAGGCTTCATCTTACCATGAAACATAGAGCCTCCTTCCTTTGTGATTCACAAAGCCCTTTCCATCACTCTGGCCATCCCTCCAGCTCTTTTGCCCGTATTTCCCCGTTTCTGCTCTTGTTTCCACACATTCTCTCTGAAACTCTCAAAAATACCTTCTCCTCCCTTTCCATATTTTCTTCATGTATTTTTCTTTTTTCTTTCTTTTTACTTTTTTTTTTTGAGACAGAGTCTTGCTGTGTCACCCAGGCTGGAGTGTAGTGGCGTAATCTTGGCTTACTGCAACCTCTGCCTCCCCAGTTCAAGCAATTCTCCTGACTCAGCCTCCTGAGTAGCTGGGACTACAGGCGCCCACCACCATGCCTGGCTAATTGATATATATATATATATATATATATATATATATATATATATATATATATACACACACACACACACACACACATTATATATATATATATATACACACATATATAATGTGTGTGTGTATATATATATATATTTTTTTATTTTTAGTAGAGGTGGAGTTTCAACATGCTGGCCAGGCTGGTCTTGAGCTCCTGACCTTGTGATCCACCCGCCCTGGCCTCCCAAAGCGCAGGGATTACAGACATGAGCCACCATGCCCGGCCTTCTTCATGTATTTTTCAAATTAGCAATTTATATTTTTTGAAATTGAAAATAACATCCAATAGATGAACAGCATATCATGCCAGAAGCCTTGCTTTCAATGCATTTGCATTTGCTTTATCATCGTCTCTTCTGATATCAAGCCTGAGATTTCTCACTCTGAAAATAATTTTATCTCTCGTCAATCTTGTTATCTCAGCTACATCTCTTAATGTTGATTACACCCAAATCCATGCTTACTGAACACAGTCAGATGTTCTAAGTGAGCTAACATGTGTAAGGCATTTAATAGTTGCCCTGGTACTTACTAAGTGACATGAAATTTTTGGCTATTACTATTACATCATCATCATCATTATCATTACTATTATTATCATTATTCTTATGTTTCTATTAGGTTGCCTCAGAGCAAATCAAATGCATATAACCAAATGTTTTAATCCTTATGTGTATGTTTTTTAATGTAAATTCATAGTTTCCACTCTCAAACTTGTCCTTCTTCCTTTTATGCTCTGCATTGAACCACTGTTAATTTCTTACCAACCTCTGTTACATCTCTTGTATTCATTTTCTCTTCTCCACGTAGATCCTGTTGACTTTGGCTTACACTCATTTCATTTCACTGGGATTCTTCTCTAGATGCTCAACTTTTTCTTCAAACTATAATTCATCTTATCTGTGGTAATCAGTTTATTTTTTAAAGCATAGTTCTGTTTACAAGACTTCTCACAAGCTTCCAAGTCTCTATTGCCTGTTGAATAAAGTTCACCGTCCTTCATGTGACACTGAAGGTGTTCAGTCTTCCGCTTTCAGATAATGTTTCTGGTGCAGTCACCTGCCATTTTCTTTCACACCTCCTAGAGTGCAACGGATCTGCATAGTATTTAATGCTCCTCATTCAATGACTATGTAGTGAAGTGTTCCTGGAAGCCTGGTTCTAGTTTAAGTGTCTTCACCCAGTGATAAGACTGACACGATCACCGCTCTGTGATTAACATTACTTTGCTCACGCTCCCAACTCTGCTCCCTTCTCCAAGATACTTTTGTGCTCATTCATCCACATCTGATTTATCTGGTGTGAAACTGATCATAGGTCTCCTTATTTATGAAGTATTCTGGTAATTCCGACTGAAAGTCCTCTTTTTCTTCTTCATTCTCGTGTTATTTATTTATATCTTTTTCATCGCACTTAGCCTTTTCACTCTTGGTCAGCTTTCTGTTCAGTGTTCAGGGAATACATGAAGATTCTCTGAACCCGCGACAAGGAATGCTGTAGCTTGGAATAGTCTTTCTAAGTCCAGAGGCTGCTTTCTTCAACTGTGTGTGCCTTTCACAAGTTTCCAACTTCTATTCGGAGCCAGCCAGTGCTGTGTCTACTGGTACAAAACATAGTGTTGTAAGGCTACACGTGGAAATGCGCTTAAACTAGAAGCAATAACAGACATAGGTTAGTGTAAGTTATATTTTTTCTGTGAGTTTTGAATTTTGTTTTCACTTTTATATTTCTGCAAATGGAAGATGGCAAAAGGGCTGTAAAGAAGTGAAGATCAGTAACTGCCTCAAATTTCAAGGCAAGAAAAGGCAGATTGTTAGAAATATCCATCTGATTGAGGAAAAGTGACATGTTTGCTTGAGGTATGTGTGTAATAGATTCCACTGACCACTGCACGGAATATGTGCAGACACAGCTGATGCTGCAACCTTATCTTAAAAACTCATCCTTTAAAAAATAATTTCCGCATCACAAATATGCTTTTTCTTTATTTCTTCTCATACCATTTTACCGCCTAGTTACCAATTTGCTGAAAACGTAGTTTCACAAGAATCCTGATTTGCAGAGCACAGGTTTCCTTAGCTCGAGGCTGTATATATGTTCTGAAATGGAAATAAAGTCTCTTTCAATGATTGGATTCAGTGGAGCTGGGTTTACTGTAAAGGGAACTTTAATAGCTATTTTTCAATGAACACAGACCATCTCCTTTTGATTAAGTTTAACTATTAATGTAATTTGACAAGGAGGTGAGAAGCTCATGCCTCATCTTCATCTGCTGTCTAAAGTAACTTAAGCAAAAGCAAAGAAAAGAAGCAGTAAGGTGTTGCTGCTGGAAAATTCTGTCTGAAAATGCTGTTATTTGAAATTATTTATAGAGAATTCACTGAAGTGAACTATTTCAATAATATTTTTATGTTAACGAAGGTTATCAATGATAAGATGAGCCAATTATAATAGTCTATTATAATTTAAAATGAATCACTGGTTATCTTTTCAACACATTTTATGTCCAGGAGAGCAGCATATCTGCAGTGCTTAAGTGTGCAGTCTCTGAAGGCAGGTGGGAGGTTTGAATTCAGTCTCTAGGGTCCGTACTTCTGTGACCTTGGGTGGCACAGAAGGCTTATCCTTTGTCTAAGCCCTGACTTCCTCAATAGTAAAACAGGGATAATAATTCTACTTACCTCAAAGTTAATACTCTATAGGCTGGACACGGTGGCTCACGCCTGTAATCACAGCACTTTGGGAGGCCGAGGTGAGCAGATAACCTGAGGTCAGAAGTTCAAGCCCAGCCTGGCTGACATGGTGAAACCCCATCTCTACTAAAAATACAAAAATTATCCAGGCATGGTGGCACGTGCTTGTAATCCCAGCTACTCGGGAGGCTGAGGCAGTAGAATTGCTTGAACCCGGGAGGCGGAGCTTGAAGTGAGCCGAGATGGCGCCACTGCACTCCAGCCTGGGTGACAGAGCGATATTTAGTCTCAAAAAACATTTTTTTAAAAAGTTAATACTCTATAAATTTTAGCTCTTATTATTTATTTATTGTTAAGAAAATACTCAACATTTTGAAGGAAATGATTATATCTTTCAACATTCTTGTGACTTTTCTGGATATCTGCTGATTTGATGCATTTTTAAAAATCAAAATATGTAACATGTTTTTACCTTATTAATCTAGCATACCATTTAAATATACAACAGTGTTTCTTCTCTTGACTAATAAGTGAACGATAATGATAATTCAACAACTACATGATTTATTATCTGATCTGAGGTTTAACTTTAAATGCCAACATCATTTTTAAGGTATTTTAAAATAGACTTTATTTTTAAAGCAGTTTTGTGTTCATAGCAAAATTGAGCAGAAAATAGAGTTCCAATATATCCCCACCTCCAAACATTCATAGCCTCCCAACTGATAGCATTTTCCTTGAAAGTTTAATGATTGAGGGTTGCCTGCTTTTACATAATTTACTACGTATTTTTTAAAAATTATAGGCCAGGCGTGGTGGCTCACGCCTGCAATCCCAGCACTTTGGGAGGCTGAGGCGGGTGGATCACCTAAGGTCAGGAGTTCAAGACCAGCCTGGGCAACACAGTGAAACCCCGTCTCTACTAAAAACACAAAAATTAGCCAGGCATGGTGGCGCTGCCTGTAATCCCAGCTACTCGGGGGACTGAGGCAGGGGAATCGCTTGAACCTTGGAGGCGGAGGTTGCAGTGAGCCGAGAATGCGCCAGCCTGGGTGACAGAGCAAGACTCCATCTCAAAAGTAAATAAATAAATAAATAAATAAATAAATAATAAAATAAATAAAATTATGTTAATAGATGTTACTATACATGTTCTGGTTAAAAACCTGAGAAAGTATTTTATTACATTTGAGGAATGGATTTGAGAGTATTTGTACTTCAGGCAATAAGAAATATTGATCAAATCTAAAAAAAAGGATCATAAAAAAGCATTTGATACTTTGTTTATCCATATATTTGCGAACATAAATGGAGTTTTTTGGATCAGATGACATAGTATCTATTTCCTTAATCTATGGGTTAGAATATAAAATGTGATTGATTACAAAATAACTTGTTTTTCATGAAAAAAATTAGCAGCTCTTGTAAAATGCATCTGAATAAGGAGAAAGTGTGCTACAAATGAGTAAAGAAAAACGCTGACTGGCTATACAAATACACTACTCATTAGCACACAAAAACTGTCTCACTTAACCAGGGAACTCCTTCCATTCCATCAGGCATGCCTTCCAGAGCACGTTCTTGCCTTTTAAATCATCAATCATTGCTGCCACTTTAGTGAGACCAAAAGGGTTAAAACTGAAACCCAGCCATTCCCTTTCACTTCTGCAAATGCAGCTCAGCTTTCCCTTCTCTGGTCTATAACAAATGCCACCCACTCTTTCCTCTGGGGTCTTCTCTGATTTGTATGGCCAGTCCCCAACCCGCCTCCTGAACTTCCATGCAACAATTTCAGACCCTCAGCAGTGGAAAGTCTTAGCATAGATGTTCTGTGAGCTTCAGGGCTTAACCCCTCATGAAACTTGACCTGAATCCGTCAGTGGATAGAAAACGGATTTCATATTTAGAATCAGCATAACTATTTGTTACAATTTTCCAGAGTGTTTTTTTTTTTCTTTGGAGACTGAGCCTCGCTCTGTCCAGCCCAGGCTGGAATGCAGTGGTGTGATCTCCGCTCACTGCAACCTCTGCCTCCAGGATTCAAGCAATTCTCTGCCTGAGCCTCCTGAGTATCTGGGATTACAGGTGTCCGCCACCATGCCCGGCTAATTTTTTTGTATTTTTAGTAGAGATGGAGTTTCACCATGTTGGCCAGGCTGGTCTCGAACTCCTGACCTCAGGTGATCCACCCACTTTGGCCTCCCAAAGTGCTGGAATTACAGGCATGAGCCACTGTGCCCAGCCTCTCAATATTCTTGATATTATATGTACTTGTATTTTCTTTGTATTTGAAATTATCATTAGGATGGTAATCAGACAACTTAGATGTTACAATATCTATACTAATCACATCACATTACTTTATTGTTACTAGTTTCTGTGAATGTGTCTTATCTTTTAAATTAAATCCAAAGCTCTTTGAGCCAGAAACTTTGTCTTGTATGAGGTTTGCTATATAAGTATTTGGAGGGAAAATTGAGTGACTCGTTCTTTCGTAAAACTGTTATATCGGAACACCACAGCTTCATGAAAACACATTAACTAGAAGTTATTACACTGGAGTTCGATCTCCAAATAATGCGGGTTGATTAAGTTCCATTAGCTCTGTGGCTTTAAGCAAGTTCCCTACTTCTCAAGACCTTATTGAATTCACTTTACAATAGGGTGACTGGGTCAGGTGATGTCTCCAGTATTCTCCCTTTTAAAGTTATATCACTTTTCAAAAAGAAAGTCTATTCTAAGAAAGAAAATATGACTCGAAGTCTGAATTTGCCCAAGTACCAAAGAAAGGCTAAAGTTAAAGCAAATCTTATTCATAGAGAGCACTAGTAAATCTATTTCTTTTTGATGCTTGAATGTTTTCTATGCTGGAATGTTCTTGGTACATATTAGGTTATAAAATGACTCATCTTTAGGACATTTCAGTGCCTGAGGGTATTTTCTTTGTAATCCATGTATTGAAATTTGACTCTTGATAGCACATGCCAAGCACATAGTTCCATAATATGATTTTTTAAAATTACAGATAATGAATATCAGATGAACACAACAGAAGACACTTAGAAATAAATCACATTTTGACCACTTTTAACAAATACTCTTAGATCAGTGTCAGATATGAGTCCTTAAAGTTTGGCCACAAAGATAATAAACACTTTATCAAATCTCTATCTTCATAATGTGTGCTCTTCTGAAGAATTATTGTCTCTAACAATGCTCTCAAAGAGCTACCAGAAAGGTTATTAAAATGAAACCTATGGTCACTGTAGTCAGAATACAAAACAAACACGCATAGTCACAGTTCATTTGCATCCATTTGCACAGTGCATTTGTTTGATTTTACAAATAACTGATAGATGAGTGGAAATAATATTCAATGTCTTGCAATTTGCAGAAAAGAGAAGTGCGACTTTAATCTCAGAAGAAAATATTTCCCAGAGAATGTGAATATCTAGTATATTGTGCTATCAAAACTCTATCCCTTTATTTTATGTCCTTGCTTGACATTTAGTTGGGGTTTATTCAAGGATTACTTGATTGGAAAAGTGCCTGCATATTTGGATGTTTAAATACATTTGATTTATGTCTCAAGTGACATTTGTGGAAAACATTTTCTGTTTTAGAAACAGTCAGGGTCAGGGAGGTCTCGCCGAGGGGAGGCAGGGACTCAAATGAAGGACTGGCCACATGGAGTATGTGTATCTCGGAGAAGAACATTGCTGACCTCTGTAGGAAGAAAGACTGGCCACATGGAGCATGTGTATCTTGGAGAAGAACATTGCTGACCTCTGTAGGAAGAAAGATGTGCACAGGTGGGTCTGGTCTATGCCACATGGATCCCAGTAACAGCAAGGAGGCCAATGTAACAGGGGTAGAGAAGCAAAGGAGACATTTGGAGAGGCTGCCATATTTTAAAGGTTTTGTGGCCATGTTTAGATTTGGTTATAAGAGTCATAGGACACCATTGGTCTTCTGTTTTAAAGACACCTCTCGCTGCTATAGTGGGAGGAAGGAGAAATATTAGCATCAGGTACAGGTGAACCATGTTTGTGTCTGAGGTAGATGCCCAGCAAGATGAGATGTGCAAGGTCCATCTACATAACTGTGAAGGACAAAGGGAACGGGGGCAGAGGCAGGGAGGGGAAGCCTTCAGACAGTTGTGCCAGTGGGAGACCTTGAAAGGAGAGGTGAGCTCGGACAGCCTGAGACCCAGCATAGTGCTGAGGAGGTGCTGGCAAGGCCAATGGGGGCCGCCTGGGAAAAGCTGCTCTCTAGAAGAATCCTGTTCCAGGCATGAATAGCCTTGACCTAGTCCTCTCTCCTAGGACTGGGAAGAGCCTGGGAGAGGGTGGCCTGGTAGTCAGGAAAGAGTGGCAGCTGGGGACTGTCACCTGCCTGCTCCTTGCAGCAGGTTCTTGTGAAGGGAGAGCCAATCAGGCACCTCCATGGGCACCAGAACGTGAGCGCTTTGGACTAGGGTGGAGGTAGTGGAGGTGGTGAGGTTTTGCCGGGGTTCTAATATATTTAAAGGGGAGAACCAATGATATTTACTAAAAAATAAAATGTGAAATGTCAGAATTCTTTGAGTTGAGATTTTGGGTGAATGGTTATGACAATTCCTAATGGAAATTGGAAAATATTTGGAAGGAATGGGTGTCAAGGTCAGATAAAGGCAGATAAGAAACTGTTTCAGGCATGTTAAGTCTGATTTAACTATTCACCATCCACTTCGATATGTGACAATGGCAGCTGGATATATTTTACTGGGCGGATGGTGGCCTGTGGTATTCCTTCAGCTGCCATTGATGGATAGATGGCTTGTAGAGCGTGAAGACCATCGAGGAGCGGAGTACAGCTGAGGAAGAGAACGGGGTACATTCACGACACCCCAGTGCTCCGCAGCATCTAGAAATTGGGATAAGAAAATGGATCTAGCGAGAGAGTAGAAGTAGCCAGGTAGAAGAATAAGTAGTTTATATAAAAAGAGAGTGTCTGACTCAGAAAATAAGTAATGCAGATGAAAAGGAGGGGATCGATTTGAGAAACATCTACTTAGGATTGGATTATGAAGTAAAGAAAGGACTTTAAGAAGGAGGCAGTTGTCACTTGCTTCAAATCCTGACAAGAGGTGGAAAGGATGATACCTCAAATGGATCACTGGATTTAGCAGTGTGGAGGTCGGTGGTAATGCTGACAAAAGTGGTTTCAGTGGAACACTGATGAAAGCATTATTGGAGGGAATGTAAGACAGAATAAGAGAGCAAGTAAAGGCAGTGAGCATAGAAACTACTCAGAGGAAATCGGCTGTAACAAGAAACAAGATGGAGAATTGCTGTCCTCTCAAGAGAGAGGCTTATGTTTTAAGAGAGTGACAACACAGCAAGCTTAAATGTTTGTGGGAAGGCTCTCTTAGAGAAGGCAAAAACGTATGATCCAGGAGGAAAAGGGGAGAAGCACATGGGAAAATTCTTAGAGGAATCAATAAGAGGGGATGGGATCTACTCCATGTGAAATCAGTTTTGCTTTAGAGACAGCATAAGTAGGTCACCTGTTTTACCAGGAGGAGAGGCAAAGCGCACAGGTCCAGTGCAGCTGAAGTGGTTTCCTCGCTAGTGGAAATTTGTAGACATTCTCTTCTGATTGCTTTCAAACTTCTCAGTGAAATAAGGATCAAGTCACAGTTAGGCAAAGAGGTGCGGGGCGGGCATGGTGGAGAGTTGAGAAGGGGTGGTGTGAAAGTCACTTTGGTGGAGGGAGAGTAAATGAACTTAATGACTCTTGTGACACTGTTGGGCAGTCCTGAGTGCCTGCTTGAGTTCATTCCTGTATATTTAACGTGAGGCCAACCAGCAGGTTTAATGTTTTTCTGTATTCATTTCCAAGTCCTTGGGTGTGAGCACAAACAGGCACAGGCCATATGTAATCATTGTGGTGGTTTTACTAGGCAGATGTGGCACAGGAAAAAGGGCAAGGTAATCGAGAGTAAATAGAAGGGGGTGGTGACAATGACTGATGTAAGATTGACGCTGGGAAATGAAGGAACTGAGAGCTGGAGGGGTGCAATTAATAGAGTGCGGGCTTTGTGGGTTCAAAATATTTAGAATGGGGGCCAAAACGCTGAAGGAGACAGCAAGAAAAGATTATGGAGGAGACAGAGTGAGTCTGGATATGAAAAAAAGTCCAGCGTGTTATCACAAGAGACAAACTGGAAGAGGCTAGATGAGCAGAATAGAGGACAAAGAACCAAGAGTCCTGGGTATTGGTAAAACCTGCTGTGGTCTGGATGCTTGTGTCCCTCTAGATTCCTATGTTGAAACCCTCATCTCCAAGGTGATGGCATTAGGAGGCGGGGCCTTTTGGGATGCGACGGGATCATGAGGGCAGAACCCTTGTGAGTGAAGTTCATGCCTTATACAAGAAAGCCTAGGGCCTTCTTTCCTCTCCACCGTGAGGATGCAGTGTGCAGTGAACTAGGTAGCGGGCTGTCACCAGACACCACACCTGCCGGCACCTGGATCTCAAACTCTCCAGCCTCCAGAACTGTGAGGAAGACATTACTGTTGTTCATAAACCACCCAATCTACAGTATTTTGCTACAGCAGCCAAAATGGACGAAGACAGATCATTTACACGGGTAGAAAAATCACCAGGAATAGCGATGGTGAGAAAAACAGCAAGCCAGACACAAGAATCACCCGTGATGAAGGGGATGGTAAATGACTAGGGAGAGTGACAGAAGGCCCAGTCCCCTGACATGAGCCTTGATGGAACTGGAGCTTTTAGCAGGAACCAGGGCAAATGGGCTTGAGGCAGCCCAGTAGTGTGCAGGGTGTGAAAGGGAAAAACAGCCCTCAGTTGACAGTGTAGTACTTTCCTAGGACTTCTGTAGCAAAACACCATGCACTTAATGCCTTCAATCAACAAACATTTATTCTCTCACAATTATGGAAGCCAGAAGTCTGCAGTCAGTATCAATGGGCCAAAATCAGGGTGTCAGCACTGTCACCCTCCCTTGGTGGCTCCATAAGGAAACCGGTTCCTTGTCTCTCAGCTTCTGGTGACTGCCAGCATTCATTGGCTTGTGGCCACATCACTCCAATATTTAGGGTCAACATTTTTTGATCTCCCTCTGCTCTGTCTTCATATCTCTTTCTCCTCTGTGTGCCCTAAAATCTCCCTCCTCATCTCGTAACAGAATATGTGTGATGTGTGATTGCATTCAGGGTCCATCTGAACAATCCAGGACGATCTCCCCATCTTGAGAACATAATCATATCTGCAAAGGCTTTCTTTTCTTGCCATATGTTATGGTCACCTGCAAAGACATATGGGCCCCTGAGGTTTGATTTGAATGTTGAGGCTGATGATGCCACACACAAGCTAAGGGGGTATGAAAGGTTCATTACTCACATACTTCAGGCTTCTGGGGAGAGCAGGTGGGCCTCACAAGCAGATCCAATGTGACCTAAGAAAGCAAGGGAAGAAGACTGGCCCAAGATGTTATAGTGGTTAGGGGTGGGGCTGGGGTGGGGTCAAAGTTCCCATGTGTGGGAAGGGCTCGTATGGTTTGACTCCCCCACCAGTGCCAAGGGAGGGGGCTCCCCATCTTTCCTGTTGGCTTATCCAGATGCGGGCATAAAGGAATACCAAGGGGTGAGGCCTAGAAGCTGTCAGGAGTCAAACATCAAGAAATGGGGCCAGTCTGGGCCTGGTGGCTCATGCCTATAATCCTAGCTGGGAAGCTGAGGCCCAGAACTTTGGGAGGCCCAGCACTTGAGGCCAGGAGTCTGAGACCAGCCTGGCCAACATGGTGAAACCCTGTCTCTACCAAAATATAAAAGTTAGCCAGGGGTGGCGGCACATGCCTGTAGTCTGTAATCCCAGTTACTTGGGAGGCTGAGGCAGAAGAATCACTTGAGCTCAGGAGGCAGAGGTTGCAGTGAGCCGAGCTCACACCACTGCACTCCAGCCTGGGTGACAGAGTGAGACCCTTCCTCAAAAAAAAAAAAAAAAAAAAAAAAAAAAAAAAAAAAAAGGGAGGGAGGCCAGACTACTCATTACATCATATAAGGCAATTTTCCCAGGTTCTAAGGTTCTAGAGATTAGGAACTGGCTATCCTGGGGTGGGTGGTAGAGTCCAGCCTACCACAGGGAGTTATGAAACATAAGCATGGTCCTCAAGGGGGAACTGAGATTAGGGTTCGATCAGAAATAGGAGGGGCGTATGAAAGAAGTCAGTGCTATAGATTTTTATGTAGTTACCAATGAGCTGAAACCCATTTCCCCATTTTATCTGTTTTGTTCATTGCTGTGTTCTCAGCTTCTACAACAGTACTTGGAACATAGTTGGCATTTGATAAATATTTTCTAAATAAATAAATGAATAAAAATGGACGACATTTCTAATGTAAAGAAGTTATTGGAAAATCACAATGGAAAGTTGGATTTGAAATTTAGGCATCTTCACAAAGTTCATATGCATTATTACTTTAAAATTCTGTAGCGTGGAAGGGAGATGGCAGGGGAGTATGTCACTTTGTGACACAAATGAATGAACCATGCTAATTTCATGGAAAACCCTATCTAAAATTCTGAAACAGAACACCCTGCCTCCCACCTGACATAGCTGCTTCTGTTAGCGTTTTCCAGCCCTGTGTCTCCATGCAGAACAACCCCAACCGCCTGCTCTGTTGTGGGTCAACACGCTGCCTTTCCAAGCACTCTGAATACACCACAGACGTGTCCTACCCACAAACGTCTTCCTGGTGGCGCCCCTTCAAATCTAGGATCTACAATATGGAAAGAAAATTTTATTTAAGTAGCTGTTCATAAGACACTAACTGAAAGATGTGCGCGCGTGCACACACACACACACACACACGATGTACAGTGTCACAGAGGCTCTAGCTATGGTTATTGGACTTCCGAAGGATGCAGAAGGAGAAAGAGAGTGATAATTAACCATTACGTTAGAGCAAAACCCAAGATGGTTCCTGCACGTTGATTTTCTACAGTGATTAACTTTTTTTTTCTTTTGTTTTTGAGACGGAGTCTCGCTTTGTGTCCCAGGCTGGAGTGCAGTGGTGCGATCTTGGCTCACTGCAACCTCTGCCTCCCAGGTTCAAGCAATTCTACTGCCTCAGCCTCCCTAGAAGCTGGGATCCCAGGTGCCTGCCACCACACCTGGCTAAGTTTTGTATTTCTAGTAGAGAAGGGGTTTCACCATGTTGGCCAGGCTGGTCTTGAACTCCTGACCTCAGGTGATCCTTTGGCCTCCCAAAGTGCTGGGATTACAGGCGTGAGCCACTATGCCCAGCCCCTCTACTGCATAACTTAATTACCACAAAATAATGCACTAGATCTTCATATTTCCTCCCACGGGGCACTCATTCACCAAGGGACTCATTTCCAAGGTCTTTCACCCTATTTCTTTTCTTTTGAAAAATATTCAGGGAATGAGAGTTTAATATAAATTGTCATTAGCCAATATTCTTAGCCAGTCCCACACCTTTAAGATGGCCCGTCTTGACGTCTTGTTCAATGGTTGCCAAGCCGGCAAGTGAGCATGCACATCCTCTTGGATTTCGTCCCCAAATACAAGAGGAAAGAAACAACGTCTCCCACTGTGAAGGATGGTGGCATCGTTAGTGGGAGGGTGTCCACTATATCTGTCTTCTTCTACTGCCCTGTATTTTCTCATATCACAGCTTGACCTCTCTAAATCTGATGGAAGGAGAAAGACTGAAGTCAGAGAGGCTTGTATCTGATGGAAGGAGAAAGACTGAAGTCAGAGAGGCATGTACGGAGCTTTGAGTTTTATTGTTTGACACGCAAGGGTCTGATACTTTTGTTTCTGGTCTCCTGTCAGGGTGCCACTGACAGGGCCTTACACTCTGCTGAATGTAGCCCGTAGCCCTTTGGTGAGCACCTTGGCCTGCACAGAAGGCCCCTGTGCTCAGCAGAGTCTTCAGGGAGAAATTCACTTCTGGGTTTTCTCGGCGCCTGAGAATCCTCTTCAAGGTCTCAGTCTTCCATCTCTAGTCCTGCTCTGCCCTCTCTCTGAGTTCACTAAGATTGTGGATCTTCTAGGTTTTCACAATGGACTTTTCCTTCTCATTTTGCCCTGCTCTGTGCTTTGTACTTGTGCAGCATGCAGTTGTCTGAGCCCTGTGCAGAGTCTCAACTCCCAGCCCTCTTGTTTACCTAGCATTGTGAATGCACACTGTGATTCTGGGTGGCATTTCTCTGGAGCTGTGCATTCCAGGATTCCGGTCAAGAGAGAAATAATGCTCACATGCTTCCTCGGAGGACTAGGACTGACCCCGCTGCATGCATCTGAAGAGGTAATGGTCCCTACAGTGTGGTCCTTTTTGGGCAAGGCTTGTTAATATCTGCTCTTTCATTACTGTGTAGTAGGGCAAAGTCACTGCAAATGGCCGTTTCCCGGTTTCTAATGTCCTGCTTTTCCTAGCCCCCTAAGGTACTTTGACCACTGGTTATGAACAAGGCTGTTGGCTATTCTATTTTCAAACAGCAGTCGTCTGTTAGGAATAACTATCAATTTAATGGCGCCAATGGCCATCAAAACAAAGAAAATTACACAGTAAGTCTGTCTTTCTTTCTCGAAGGGAATCATTTGCATCTCACTGTGGTACCAAGTGTCGCCGTTTCCCTCAACATGCTGGTAACCATCAGTCCCACAACAGAGTGAACCAAGAATGCAGAGGGCTTTTTGTGCTCAATATCTTTGCTTTGGCCAAGGAAACACTTTCCATAATATCACGTTTACTTTTTTAACTTTTATAGTACAGAGTGAAACATGTAGAAAATAGTAGCTGTCTCGAAAGAGATGGGAAGACTAAGCCTAGTGATGAATGAGGCACACATAGAAAGGGACAGGTGCACCAGGACATGGGTGGGGATGGTCCCTGCTCCATAGAAAGGGACAGGTGCACCAGGACACGGGTGGGGATGGTCCCTGCTCCTCATGTCTGTGCGAGGCTTTCATTTGCAGGCTTCACAGTGCTTTAGAATAATGTGTTCATGGAATAAAGAGAAAGGTAGCATGGGAGGAAAATGTTTTCATACAAAGCGAGGAAATTAAATATCACTTGATTCAACTGGGTATTTTAAGGGGAAAATTACATGATTAAATCACACCCATGGAAGTTTGGTTTAGAATTCCATTATCTAAGATGGATGAACATTTCCAAGGCCCTAAACTGTGTATTAGAAAGAAATCCTAATTGCATCAAAATAAATGAAATGTTATATTTTTGTTATTAGTTTTTGAGTGCCTTTCAACCCAGAAGAAAACTAAACTTGATTTAAAAAAAAAAAAGCTTTATAACAAGATGTTAGAGGTGATAAATTTAAAGTTTGAATAGGAAGAGCATGGTCTGGGACTAGAAACACTGTAGGACAGAGATGTTCCTTTCCACCTATTTAGTTATTCATTTAATAACAGGCTACAGGTATCACCTATTTTTTTTTTTTTTTTTGAAACTGAGTCTCAGTCTCTCGCCCAGGCTGGAGTTCAGTGGTGCAATCTAGGCTCACTGCAACCTCCACCTCCTGGGTTCAAGCAATTCTCTGCCTCAGCTGGGATTACAGGCGCCCGTCACCACACCCAGCTAATTTTTTTGTATTTTTAGTGGAGACGGGTTTTCACCATCTTGGCCAAGCTGGTCCTGAACTCCTGACCTCGTGATCCACCCGCCGCGTCTTCCCAAAGTGCTGGGATTACAGGCATGAGCCACCGCTCACGGCCCTATCATCCATTCTTGATTGCACATCCTCTTTTGGCTTCCGTGAAAGCATACTGCTATGTTTTATTTCTGCCTCTCTTGTTACCCGCCGTTATCAATCCTAGGCTCCTTTCTCCCATGCTCCTGCCTCTATATGGTGTTGCTGAGGTCCACCTTTCCTCTCTCATCCATCACTAAGGTTGCTAGAAGATCCTTGTTCTCAGGGTGTCACTCACACACATGACTCTCAAATCAAAGTAGCCAGCAGAACCTCCACGCTGTGATCCAATCTAGAATTTCCAAGCTGTCTTCTGGATATTTCTTTTTGAATATTTGAACCAACAGTACTGTACTTTAACTCTTCCTCTGCTTTCTTCCCAAGGCTCCTAGCTTCTGTGTTATCATTTGTGACTTTTCCATTAAGAAAAAATCTGTTACGAGTTATTTCACCTAAAACACGGCACATTATTATTTTTTAATTTGTAATAATTGTGTCTGTAGTCTTAAAAGTACAATGCTATCTCAGAATCATATAGGTATCTTTTTTTTTTCTTTTTTTTTGAGATGGAGTCATGCTCTGTTGCCCAGGCTGGAGTGCAGTGGCACAATCTCGGCTCACTGCAACCTTCTACTCTCTGGTTCAAGCGATTCTCCTGCCTCAGCCTGCCAAGTAGCTGGGATTACAGGCACACATGCCACCACGCCCAGCTAATTTCTGTATTTTTAATAGAGACGGGGTTTCACCATGTTGGCCAGGATGGTGTCAATCTCCTGACCTAGTGATTCACCTGCTGGGCCTCCCCAAAGTGCTGGGATTACAGGCATGAGCCACTGTGCCCAGCTGGGATCTCGTTAAAGACACAGACCCCAATTAAGATTGGGGAATCAGAGCCTTTGGAGACTTGGGAACTCGTGCTGTACTCATGACTTCACGTGGTTCTCATACACACTAAGGTGAGAGAACCATAACCCTGGACAGCAGAGAGGATACTTTTTGTTAATTAAATGCCACACTTTATTTCAAGATATTAGATTAGGTATTATTGACAGCTGTTTGCAAAACCCAGGAAGGCATTTTATCAATAGCTACTATTCATTTTCAGTTTGCTTCATTCCAACTTGCTGTGTATTTTAGTTGCTCTTTCGGTTTAAAGCAAATGAACCAACTCTGACTAGATTTAAACAAAAAGCGAATCTAAGCGAACCTATTGGGAGAACACTAGGTTATCTCATGGAGATGTGGTAAAGTAGAGAATAGGGAGGGACTAGATCAACTCCAGGTACCTTGGCAGTGAAACCTCGTGGATCTTCTCGCCACTGAATTTCCTTCAGTTGGACTTTGGCTCCTGTCACTTGCAACCTGTACTTCCACCCCTGCTCCCAAATTTAATTTTATTTTTTAAAATTGCTTTTAAATGACATGTAATAATTGTACATATTTCGGAATACAAAGAGATATTTCCATACATGGATGTAATGTATAATTACCATATTGTGGTAATTAGCATATCTATCATGTATAACACAAAGAATTTATCATTTCTTTGTGTTGGGAATATTCAAAATCCTCTTTTCTAGCTATTTGAAAATACACAATAAATTATTGTTAACTATCATCACCCTTACAGGGCTATAGAAACTAGAGCTGACTCCTATCCAGTTGTAATTTTGTATCTCTCCTTATCCTTCTCTCCTCCTATAGTCTCCAACTGACAGTAACCATAACTCTACTCTCTGCTTCTAGAGCTCAATGTTTTAGCTCCCATACATGGGTGAGAACATGCGGTATTTATCTTTTTGTGTCTGACTTATTTCATTTAACATAATGTCCTCCAGGCTCATCCTTGTTGCTGTGAGTGACAAGACTTCATTCTTTTTTATGACAGAATAGTATATCATTGTGTGTAGTTACCACACTTTATCCACTCATCTGATGATAGACTCTTAGGCTGACTCCATATCTTGGCTATTGTGGATAGTGCTTCAGTAGACATGGGAGTGCAGATATCTCTTTGAGATACTGATTTTCTTTCTTTTGGATGAATAGCGAGTAGAGGGATTGCTAGATCATATGGTAGTTCTATTCTTAGTTTTTCGAGGAAACTCCATACGGTTTTTCATAATGGCCATACTAATTTACAATCCCACCAACAGTATGTAGGAGCTCCCTTTTCTCTGCATCCTCACCAGCATCTGTTATTTTTGTCTTGTTGATAGTAGCCATTTTAACTGGGACAAGAGAATATCTCATTGTGGTTTTGATTTGCATTTCCATAATGATTAGTGACGTCATTTTTTAAAATGTTCTTTTTGCCCATTTGTATGTCCTTTTTTGAGAAATGTCTTTCAGATTCTTTGGCCACTGTAAAATCAGATTTTTTTTTGCTTTTTTATTTTTTTGCTGTTGTTTGAATTCCTTGTATATTCTGAGCATTAATCTCTTGTTGGATGAATAGTTCGCAAATATTTTCTCCCATCCTAAAGTGGTCTTTCTATTCTGTTGATTACTTCCTTTGCTGTGCATAAGGTTTTTAGTTTGATATAGTCTCATTTGTCTATTTTTACGTTTGTTGCTTGTACTTGTAAAGTCTTACCTATAAAAGCTTCACCCAGTCTCAAGTCCTAAAGTGTTTCCCCCATGTTGTCTTCTAGGAATTGTATAGTTTTGGGTCTTAAACTTAAGTCTTTAATCCATTTTGAATTTATTTTCATGTATGGTGTGAGAGAGAGAGAGAGAGGTCTAGATTTATTCTTCTGCATATGCATATCCACTTTTCAACGTTTTTGGTGACTTTGTCAAAAAGTCAGGTGACTGTAAATAAGAGAATTTATTTATGGGTTTTCTAGTCTGTTCCATTGGTTTATGTGTCTGCTTTTATACCAGTGTCATGCTGTTTTGATTACTAGAGCTTTGTAGTATATTTTGAGGACAGGTAGTATAATACTTCCAGCTTTGTTCTTTGTGCTTAGAATTGCATTAGCTATTCAGGGTATTTTGTGGTTCCATACAAGATTTGGAATATTTTTTCTATTTCTGTGAGGAATATCATTGGTATTTTGATAGTGAAACCAGTCCAGTAGTCCCATAGATAGCTTTTTTTTGGATAAACATAGAATTTGATCCTTCTGTTCTTAAAGCTTGAAGCTTGCATTTGTTTTATCTGTGTTCCTTCCTCAGGATGACATTCAGGGCTCTCAAAAAAAGTATCAAAGAGGCCGGGCGCAGTGGCTCACGCCTGTAATCCCAGCACTTTGGGAGGCCGAGGCGGGCGGATCACGAGGTCAGGAGATCGAGACCATCCTGGCTAACATGGTGAAACCCCGTCTCTACTAAAAATACAAAAAATTAGCTGGGCGAGGTGGCGGGTGCCCATAGTCCCAGCTACTCAGGAGGCTGAGGCAGGAGAATGGCGAAAACCCGGGGGGGGGGAGCCTGCAGTGAGCAGAGATCGCACCACTGCACTCCAGCCTGGGTGACAGAGTGAGACTCCGTCTCAAAAAAAGTATCAAAGAACTGAAACTCACCTGATCACCACATCCAGACAATGAGATGCCAAACCCCTCATTCATCATGATTACTTTCTTGCTCCTCCCTAGTTCCTCCCTTTTCTTAGACATTGTCACATTTCTTCCCTGCTATATAAACCACTAGTTATAGCCAGTCAGGGAAATGGATTTGATACTAATCTCCCATCTCCTTTGCTGCAGCACTCCGTTAAATCCTTCTTCCTTGGCAATACTCATTGTTTCAGTGACTGGCTTTCTGTGTGGCAAGCAGCAGGACCTAGACTGAACCCCTGTGCTTTGGTAGCAACAGGAATTGCACTAAATCTGTAGCTTGCTTTGATTAAGATGGTCATTTTAACAATATTGACTGTTCCAATCTGAACATGGAATTTTTCTTTTTTGGTGGGTGTGTCCTTTTCAATTTTTCTCATCGGTGTTTTGTAGTTTTCATTGTAGAGGTCTTTTATCTCCTTGGTTAAATTTATTTCTAGGTACTTTATTTTTTTGTAGCTATTAAAAATGGGATTGCTTTTTTGATTTCTTCAGCTAGTTTGTTATTGGTATATAGACTTGCTATTAATTCTTATATGTTGATTTTATATTCTGCAACTTTACCAAATTCACTGATCAGTTCCAAGAATTCTGTGGTGAAGTCTTTAGGTTTTTCTCTATATAAGATTATGTCATCTGCAAAGAGGGACAATTTGATTTTCTCTTTTCCAATTTTGCTGTATTGTATTGCTTTCTCTTGCTTAACTGCCCTGGCTAGGAATTCCAGTACAGTGTTGAATAAGAGTAGTGAAAATGGGCGTTCTTGTCTGGTTCCAGCTCCTAGAGGAAAAGTTTTTCCCCATTCAGTATGCTGTCAGCTGTGGGTTTGTTACATACGGCCTTTATTATTTTGAGGTACACTCCTTCCATGCCTAATTTATTGAGAATTTTTTGTCATGAAGGGATGTTGAGTTTTATCAGGTGCTTTTTCTGTATCTATTGAGATGATCCTATGGCTTTTGCCCTTAATTCCGTTGATGTGATGTATCACATTTATTGATTTGGGTATACCAAAACATCCTTGCGTTTTTAGGACTAATCCCATTTGAACATGGGTGTATAATTTTTTTGATGTGCTGTTAGATTCAGTTTGCTGGTATTTTGTTCAGGATTTTTGCATTTAGGTGCATCAGGGATACTGATCTGTAGTTTTGTCGCTATTGCTTTTGTGTCCTGGTCTGGTTTGGGTAGCAGAGTAATGCTGGTCTGCTAGAAGAAGTTTGGAAATGATCCCTTCTCTTCCATTTTTTTGAAGAGCTTGTGTCAAATTGGTATTAGTTCTTTAAATCTTTGGGAGAATTCAGCAGTGGAGCCACCAGGTCCTGGGCTTTTCTTTGATGGGAGACTTTTTATGATGGCTTCAATCATATTGCCCATTATTGGTTTGTTGAGGTTTTCTTTTTCTTCATGGTTTCATGTTGGTAGGTTGTATGTGTGCAGGGATTTATTCATTTCTTCTAGTTTTTCCTATTTGCTGGTGGATAGTTGTTCATAATAGTCTCTAATGATTGTTTGTATTTCTGTGGTCTCAGTTGTTAGTCTTCTTTTTTGTTTCTGATTTTATTTATTTGGGTCTTCTCTCTCTTCTCTTAGTTTAGCTAACAGTTTATCAATTTTTGTTTGTCTTTTCAAAAAGGCAAGTTTTCATTTCATCGATCTTTTGTAATTTTTTTTTAGTCTCTACTATGTTTAGTTCTGCTCTGATCTTTATTTATTTATTTTCTAGTTTAAAATTTTGGGTTTAGTTTGTTCTTCCTTTACTAGTTCATTGATGTGCATTGTTAGATTGTTTATTTGAAATCTTTCTACTTTTTTAAAGCAGGCATTTATTTCTATAAATTTATTCCTGGGGATCAACTTACCTCTTTCTGTGTGGTGAGGAGTGTCTCTTGGGATGAGCCGATCCCAGCCAGGCTCTTCACTTTCCTCTTTATGCTGCCATCTCCAGTCTCTGTGCATCAGAAGGTCTTTATCACTTTCTTGCTGAATTCCAGTGTTTTCTCCTATACACTCTATTTGATGTGTTGTTTTCTAATTGTTTTGGTCCTTTGTGGAGTAGGAGAGCACTGGGCATCTCTTATCAGCCTTCTTGATGACATCTGGATAGGACAATATTGATCAATGATATATCTAGAAGCAATTTTGAATAAATAATATAGTGTTATAGGTTATAATTAAATATGTAAACCAAAAATAAATAAAGGAAAGGAAGAAAAACCTCCCTTTTTTTCAGAGGCAGGGAGTTTTTATTTTTGGCTTCTGTAATGGTATTTCACCAAGTTTTAAAGGTATTAACTTTATTAACCCGCAACATTCATCATTTTAAAGGCGTATATAGAAACTATCAAAATGGGTCAGAAACAAGGTTTGCGATACTCATAATTATCTTCAACAGTGGCAATATTTAACCTTTTGAGTCAATCTCAACAGATTGGCAATATAACATAATATATATTGATAAGTGTCATTCTTGATAAAAAATCAAATTATTTTTCTATTTACAATTTTTAGAAAAGGTTTAATGTAAAAATATTTTTCTTCTTTATATATTTCCCTGCCATGATAATGTTAAAACATATCAAGATGCTCCTCAAAGTTTAGGAGTGAACAGCATAACATTCCATTTTAGTTGAAGCATTCTTTCACATAGCCAACATATTTTTTCAAGACACTCTAAGAACTCGTGAGGATACTACAGGAAAAATGTTCCTCTTGCCTACTGAGCTTTTAGTCATATTTTCCCTCAAACTTTTCTAAATTAAACATTGTTATAACTGGGTTTGTTTTTTTTTTTGAAATTTAATTTTCCACGGTGCAGTCCTCAAGTTATTCTTTTATTCGGAGCCACTCCTTCAGTTTCAACTTGCTGAGCAGGCAAGCAACTGCTTTTGGTTTCTATGGAAACTGGATTCCTGTGGCTGCCTGTAGGTATTCTCGTTCCACCAACCTTTTGTTGTGTTGTGGTATCCAGTGATTTAGGTGGAAAAGTACAAGTTATTCTTCCATGATGGATATGATATGGTCATAACAGGCTAGGATCTAATCGGACCCAGAGAACTGAGAGACTGGAAGGTACATCAGGAAGGCTGCAATGTGTTTTATACAAATTGTATGCTGTCCTAGTAACTTTTCCATCAGAGGTCTTATGGATTGGGAGTGAAGAATCTTCTGCTGCCTGAGATAACAAGTAGGAACCCTCCTGCCAGCTACTTAATTTCTTTAGAATGTGTTGGAGAATGTTAAATACATTGGAAATCTTGAGTGCTGAAAGCTTTTCTTTTAATGCTTCTGAGGTAATTTCTTCCAGTAGAAAAAGCTTTGAAGTAAATGCATCGATATGGCCAATGTAAAATATCTGTTGGAATGCAATCAACTTCCAGTCCACAAGCGACAACGTTCACTTTCAGTCAGAGCTTCAACTCCATAACCAGCTTGATTCTCTACTTCTGGTAGTACATAAACTGGAAATTGTTTTCCGATTTTCTTCTGTTTCTTAGAACGTGGTCTTGTCTCCATCCTCCGGACACTGCAGCACATGAGTAACAACAGGTCTTGCAGGCTAAATAACTTATGAATAAAGTTTCCTTCCTGAGGAGCTAGGTATTCCGACGTATCTTCAACATAGTCCTGAAGTTCATATGGCAATCGTCCTTTTGGCTTCTGAAATGCAGAAGGCCATCCAATTTCGGCCAACTAGAGGCATCTGAAGGGACAGACCGTTGCTCAGAAACAGAGGGCTGTTTAGAATTTTCTAAATTCATTAAGGGCAATTTGGGTACTTTTCTGGAAATTGGCTTTAAGAGCTCATCCTGCATTTTAAAAATTTCTCCAACAGGATCAAATTTTTTATATACTCATTTGATAGGTTTTTTTAAAAAAAAATACATGACTTGCCAGGCGTGGTGGCTCACGCTTGTAATCCCAACACTTCGGGAGGCTGAGGAAGGTGGATCACCTGACGTCAGGAGTTCGAGACCAGCCTGACCAATGTGGAGAAAGCCCATCTCTACTAAAAATACAAAAAAAAAAAAAAAAATGGCTGGGTGTGGTGGCGCATGCCTGTAATCCCAGCTACTTGAGAGGCTGAGGCAGGAGAATTGCTTGAACCTGGGAGGCAGAGGTTGCAGTGAGCTGAGATCGTGCCACTGCACTCCAGCCTGGGGCAACAAGAAAGAAACTCCGCCTCAAAAAAAATTAAATAAATAAAAAGTAAAAAAATAAAAACACATGACTCTTCTGGACTACAAGCAGTATTAGTCTGGTTTTCTGCAGAAGCCTGTCCTGAGGAAGAATTTGGGCTAGCTGGTCAAGAATTTAAGTTGGAACCCATGACAGCTGTCTTTCCGTCACTATTATTTTTACACTCTGTATCAATAATTAAACACTCCTTATCTGTATCACTGCTGCAGAGAACTGTATCTTCAGTTTTAGCTGCTTCTGATGTCACAGTCTTTTCCTTTGAGTTGTCTAGGTTTTCCAGAACATTGGGTCTTTCAGCATCAACATGTACCATATCTATAGTCATATCATATTTATTAGCAGTTTCAATTTCCTGAGAATTTTCTAACTGTAAGGCATCAGATGTTTTCAAGTCACTATCTTGCCTCGAAGACTTGTCAGTATTTGATACCTTTTTGCCACATGATTCAAATCCCTGGTCATCTTTATTTTTGCACTCTTTAGGGCCACCATCCATACCAGTGACCAGTTGTTTCTCCTTTTGCGACTGTTCAATGAGAATCTGAGATAAACTTCTAGAATTAGCAGAAATGTCTGGTGCACTTGGTGCCACAGGTGTAGTTCCTGCTTTGGGGGCTGTAGGAGCATCTGTCACGTTAGTTACTGTGGAAGTACTTGCTGGACTTCTTGGCTTTGATGCTTTGGTGGTGGTTACTCCAAAAGTTTCAAGTTTTGTAACATCACCATCAAAATCCAGATACAAGTTTTCAAGAGTCTCAGTGTTTTGGCACTCACTACTTCACAGGGCATGTCCATTTCAGATATAAACTCTTCAAGGATAAACCTCTTTTCTATGCCTGGTGGGAGAGTCAAAGATCCCTGTTCTTAAGGATGTAAATATATACACAGATAATATAGTTATTGAATAACTTGGGTTTGAGGGAAGTAAAAATAGTTGTTTTCTAGCATAAAAGTAATTCCTTTTTCAAAGCTTCAAATTAATTTTGGATCAGTGGGAGGATCATTTTTAAACTTAATAAATGAGTGAAAGTCCAGTTAAAACAGAAGAATAAGAACAGTTCATTTTAAGTAGACTCTCACAAGCTTGGTCAAATCAAATGCTCTAGGACCTTCTCGTATATTTTAGGATACTTTACTTGTATTTGGGAGATGATTCCCCAGGAGTATTTCATATATTCACATGTGGTGTAAACAGAGACTCTGGCAGCTTTTCTTTCAAATGATCTTTTCAAGGATATTGCCATTGTGAACAGCTTTGGAAGTTAAGGTAGCTTTTCCCTCTGTGGTAGAGGGCAGGTTTTCTTGGTGTTTAGGAAAATTAAAATAATGACTACTTTTAGGACAAAGTTTGAGCAAACTTACTTGAGGTCTGATATGGTTTGGCTGTGACCTCACCCAAATCTCATCTTGAATTGTAGCTCCCACAATTCCCATGTGTTGTGGGAGATACCTGGTGGGAGTTAATTGAATCATGGGGGTAGGCCTTTCCCATGCTATTCTCGTGATAGTGAATAGGTCTCATGAGATCTAGCGGTTTCACAAAGGGGAGTTTCCCTGCACAAGTTCTCTTTTCTTGTCTGCCGCCATGTGAGATGTGCCTTTTACTTCCAGCCATGATTGTGAGGCCTCCCCAGCCATGTGGAACTGTAAGTCCATTAAAACTCTTTCTTTTGTATATGCCCAGTCTCAGGTGTGTCTTTATCAGCAGCATGAAAACAGACTAATACAAGGTCCATTATAAATGACTGGAGTTTCCTAAGCTCCAGCTTCCATAGCTATGAAGAAAATCCACTCAGTATACAACTTTTCCCTTTTTTAGCCTAGGAGTCTTGTGTCTTTTGCCAACATCCATGAAACAATGATAATGTAACTCATTAGATTGCAAGTAGAGTAAACCTCAGACCCTTTACAATTAAGTGTTTCTCCACAGTTTACATGAAATTGAAAAATGAAGGCACCAAGAATTTGTTTTTTTCTCCTTACACACACATCTGGGCTTTTACAATTGTAGGGACCAGCCCCACAGGGTCGGAGGGTTTTTCTCCCCGTGTGCGGAGATGAGACATTGTAGAAATAAAGACACAAGACAAAGAGATAAAAGAAAAGACAGCTGGGCCTGGGGGACCACTACCACCAAGATGCGGAGACCGGTAGTGGCCCTGAATGCCTGGCTGCGCTGTTATTTATTGGATACAAGGCAAAAGGGGCAGGGTAAGGAGTGTGAGTCATCTCTAATGATTGACAAGGTCACATGAGTCATGTGTCCACTGGACAGGGGGCCCTTCCCTGTTTGGCAGCCGAGGTGGAGAGACAGAGAGAGAGAGAGGACACAGCCTACGCCATTATTTCTTCATATCAGAGGTTTTTAGTACTTTCACTAATTTTGCTACGGCTATCTAGAAGGCAGAGCCAGGTGTACAGGATGGAACATAAAAGTGGACTAGGAGTGTGACCACTAAAGCACAGCATCACAGGGAGATGGTTAGGCCTCCAGATAACTGTGGGCAGGCCTGACTGATGTCAGGCCCTCCACTAGAGGTGGAGGAGTAGAGTCTTCTCTAAACTCCACCAGGGAAAGGGAGACTCCCTTTCCCAGTCTGCTAAGTAGTGGGTGTTTTTCCTTGGCACTGACGCTACCGCTAGACCACAGTCCACTTGGCAACGGGCGTCTTCCCAGACGCTGGCGTTATCACTAGACCAAGGAGCCCTCTGGTGGCCCTGTCTGGGCGTGACAGAAGGCTCGCATTCTTGTCTTCTGGTCACTTCTCACTATGTCCTGTCTCTGTATGGCCTAGTTTTTCCTAGGTTATGATCATAGAGCAAGGATTATTATAATATTGGAATAAAGAGTAATTGCTACAAACTAATGATTAATGATATTCATATATAATCATATCTATGATCTATATCTAGTATAACTATTCTTATTTTATATATTTTATTATACTGGAACAGCTTGTTGCCTTGGTCTCTTGCCTCGGCACCTGGGTGGCTTGCCGCCCACATGCAATAGCTTTCTAGCTATTTCTTCTGTAGCATATAAGAGTTCAGCAAACATTTACTGGGTCCCAATCTTGTAACAGATACTCTTATAGATCCTAGAAATCCCAAGATAAATAAAACATGATTCTTGACCCAAAATGCTTCCAATGAATAGAAGAAACAATGCATAAAGACGCATGACACAGAAACAGTATTTTTCCTTCCTTCTTTCCTTCCTTCCTTCCTTCCTTTCTTTTTCTTTCTTAGATTGGGTCTCACTCCGTCACCCAGGATAAAGTGCAGTGGCACAGTCTTGGCTCGCTGCAACCTCCGACTCCTGAGTTCAAGTGATTCTCCTGCCTTAGCCTCCTGAGTAGCTGGGATTACAGCCGTGCACCACCACGCCCGGCCAATTTTTTTGTATTTTTAGTAGAGACGGGTTTTGCCATGTTGGCCAGGGTGGTCTCCAACTCCTGACCTCAGGTTATCTGCCTGCCTTGGCCTCCCAAAATGCTGGGATTACAGGCGTGAGCCACTGTGCCTGGCATAAACAGTATTTTTCATAGCATGGGATATAAGTGACGACAGCAACAGCAACTTTTTTTTTTTTTGAGATGGAGTCTTGCTTGTTACCCAGGCTGGAGAGCAGTGGTGTGATCTCGGCTCACTGCAACCTCCACCTCCCAGGTTCTAGCGATTCTGGTTCCTCAGCTTCCCCAGTAACTGGGTTTACAGGCGCCCGCCACCATGTGCCAGCTAATTTTTGTATTTTCAGTAGAGATGGGGTTTCACCATATTGCCCAGGCTGGTCTCAAACTCCTGACCTCATGATCCACCTGCCTTGGCCTCCCAAAGTGCTGGGATTACAGGTGTGAGCCACCGCACCCAGCCAATGACAGCAACATTCAAGGGGTGCTCTGAGAGCACACTGAGGTGCACTTAGCCTGTCGTGAAAGTTCAAGAGATGGTTCTTGAAGTTGATGGTCACTGAATGCGGTTTTGCAGGAGATTGAATTTGAAAAGCTACCTTACCTTCCGAGGCTGTTCCCAGTGCAAATATCCTTGAAAAGATCATTCAAAAACATGTGAAAAGAGTGTTTCTGACGGAAGGACATATACAGAAACATAAAATAGCATGATGTGAATCAAGGAACTAAACACCAACTGCTGTTACTAGTTTGTGGAGTTCCTTGTGTGGAGCAGTAGGAAGTTGAAGCTGGAGTTTGCTATGCATGCTGCGTTAAGGAACTCAGATTTTAGCCTTTATGCCAGTTGCCTCCAGACTTTTTTTTTTTTTTAGATGGAGCCTCGCTCTGTTGCCCAGGCTGGAGTCCAGTGGTACAATCTCGGCTCACTGGAACATCCGCCTCCCAGGTTCAAGCAATTCTCTGCCTCTGCCTCCAGAGTAGCTAGGACTACAGGCGCCTGCCACCATGCCCAGCTAATTTTTGTATTTTTAGTGGAAACGGGGTTTCACCCTCTTAGCCAGGCTGTTCTTGAACTCCTGACCTCGTGATCCACCCACCTCGGCCTCCCAAAGTGCTGGGATTACAGGCATGAGTAGCTGGCCTTAGGCTTTTCTGATTATACATTTATTTAGTAAAACTTTCTCAAGCAGTCACCTCTAATATATCTATATGTATTTATAAATTTCTCTACACGTTGTATGGTCTCCCCATATATTAAATGTTAGTATTTTATTTTATTTTATAAAACGAAATAAAAATAGATAAAGTTGGCCAGGCGAGGTGGCTCACGACTGTAATCCCAGCACTTCTGGAGGCCGAGGCGGGTGGATCACGAGGTCAGGAGATGGAGACCATCCTGGCGAACACGGTGAAACCCCGTCTCCACTGAAAATACAAACAAAAAAAAAGAAAAAAGGAAAAAAAAATTAGCCGGGCGTGGTGGCGGGCGCCTGTGGTCCCAGCTACTCGGGAGGCTGAGGCAGGAGAATGGCGTGAACCCAGGAGGCAGAGCCGCAGTGAGCCGAGATTGTGCCCCTGCACTACAGCTTGGGCGAAAGAGCAAGACTCCGTCTCAAAAAAAAAAAAAATAGATAAAGTTTCTCATATTTTCTTCTACACCTCAACTGATTGTCTTTCTCACTCTCCTTGAGGGCCACATTTAGTCTGCTTGCAGGTGCTAACACGGGGAATGATGATTTGGTCAGATTCATGTTTTCAATCACTCCTCACAGTGGAAGATAAGAGTTGAGGGATGCAGGATTCAAGGAGGGAAGTGTAGGAACCAAGATATTATGATGGATCAAGCAAGAGAAAGTCAGGATCTGACTGAGAGAGCAGGCATGGAGTGAAAAGGAGGGCTAAATTTGAGAAATACCTAGGTAGTAGAATTGGTACGATCCGCCCATTGAGTAGGGGTGGGGAGTGGCTCTGAGAGGCCGGAGTGAGGCCTGAGTGAAGGGATGGGAGAAGCAAATCCATTGAGTAGGGATGGGGAGTGGCTCTGAGAGGCCGGAGTGAGGCCTGAGTGAAGGGATGGGAGAAGCAAATCCATTGAGTAGGGGTGGGGAGTGGCTCTGAGAGGCCGGAGTGAGGCCTGAGTGAAGGGATGGGAGAAGCAAATCCATTGAGTAGGGGTGGGGAGTGGCTCTGAGAGGCCGGAGTGAGGCCGGACTGAAGGGATGGGAGAAGCAAATCCATTGAGTAGGGGTGGGGAGTGGCTCTGAGAGGCCAGAGTGAGGCCTGAGTGAAGGGATGGGAGAAGCAAATCCATTGAGTAGGGGTGGGGAGTGGCTCTGAGAGGCCGGAGTGAGGCCGGACTGAAGGGATGGGAGAAGCAAATCCATTGAGTAGGGGTGGGGAGTGGCTCTGAGAGGCCGGAGTGAGGCCTGAGTGAAGGGATGGGAGAAGCAAGTCCATTGAGTAGGGGTGGGGAGTGGCTCTGAGAGGCCGGAGTGAGGCCGGACTGAAGGGATGGGAGAAGCAAATCCATTGAGTAGGGGTGGGGAGTGGCTCTGAGAGGCCGGAGTGAGGCCTGAGTGAAGGGATGGGAGAAGCAAATCCATTGAGTAGGGGTGGGGAGTGGCTCTGAGAGGCCAGAGTGAGGCCGGACTGAAGGGATGGGAGAAGCAAATCCATTGAGTAGGGGTGGGGAGTGGCTCTGAGAGGCCGGAGTGAGGCCGGACTGAAGGGATGGGAGAAGCAAATCCATTGAGTAGGGGTGGGGAGTGGCTCTGAGAGGCCGGAGCGAGGCCTGAGTGAAGGGATGGGAGAAGCAAATCCATTGAGTAGGGGTGGGGAGTGGCTCTGAGAGGCCGGAGCGAGGCCTGAGTGAAGGGATGGGAGAAGCAAATCCATTGAGTAGGGGTGGGGAGTGGCTCTGAGAGGCCGGAGTGAGGCCTGAGTGAAGGGATGGGAGAAGCAAATCCATTGAGTAGGGGTGGGGAGTGGCTCTGAGAGGCCGGAGTGAGGCCTGAGTGAAGGGATGGGAGAAGCAAATCCATTGAGTAGGGGTGGGGAGTGGCTCTGAGAGGCCGGAAGGGATGGGAGAAGCAAATGGCGCACATTGTGTTTCGGTGACTGAGAGAATAGTGGTTATGTTTAATGAGACAGAAGATTCAGTGGATAAGCAGATTTTAGTGGTGGGTTCAATTAAGAAATTGACCTCATCTTTATACAGATTCACTTCCTTTTAATTTTCTCTCAACACACTCATCCAAAATTTGGTTGTGTTGTTTTTCTGCTGAACAACCTGTATTATTCTCCTTTCTTTTCCAAATCTCCACATTTTGGCCCAACCCGTGTTCCATGGTGAATTCAGACAGTAAAAGAAGCAACTGTTTTTCAAGTGCCTTCTTTGTTATTTATAACACAATGCTTTTTATTCCAATTTTGTAGTTGACTTCTTTTCTCTAATAGATTATTGTTTAGTCATTGCAGATCCTGTTATTCTTCCCAGCAAACAACCTCAAAGTTTCACTGGCTTACAATAAATAAAATTTATTTCTTGCTTGTGTAATTTAATTTTATTTCATGTACTTTTATCCCAATGTACATTTCAATTTGGGACCCAGACCAAAATAGCCATTCAAGTGCGAGGGGTTTATTTTGTAGATGATCCGAAAAGAATAGGAAGTGAGATAGGGAAGAAAATAATGACAAAAAAGGCTTTATTTTCAAGGGCGTTATCACTGTGGACAACTGGAGCTTAATCCTACTGCGGAAACCGAGAAGCCAGGGTAAAATGTGTACCTGAGTAATCCCACCCGTGGGCCAAGGTAATTGTAATATTTACACACCAATTTCCATCAGCCATTGGTCGTGGCTGTACCTATGAGTGATCACTTTCCAGCATTTCAGGCCTAGAAAAAGTAGCCAAGGAGGTTTCAGAGTCAGAGAAAGCCCTCGTGCAGAAAATGTACATGCTAGCATTTACAAATCAGTCAGGTATGCATCGATGTGGTTAGAGTAAAAGGACATAGAGAGGAATCCACTAAATCCATCCAGGAATAAACAAATAAAATAGGAAAAAAAAACCCACTGTTGACATAAGTTAATACTTTTATTTTACCACTATTTCTTTCTTTAGCCCTTTTATTCAGTTACGGCTACTTGTGTACATTAGGTAGGTAGTGTGCAAATTTTACAGTATGCATTAACTCAAATTCTATATTTGTAGTAACTAAAACACGCCTTATTTTTCATCTCTATGCTATTCCCTCCCCTTTCCCCAGTTTCTCTGTGTATGAAGCTCGACTGACTTGTCAAAAGCTCCCTAAAGTGATGTTTTTACAATAAAGTCTCTCCTAAACTTCAGTTAGGATCAATCACTCTCTACTGGCTGCTCCTGTAGAATTTTATCTGTAGTTTTGTTTTGTCATCTTATCACTTTATAATATTATTTACAATCTGTCTGTTAATGTATTGTGCACAGGGCTGGGCGCAGTGGCTCACACCTGTAATCCCAGCACTTTGGGAGGCTGAGGTGGGTGGATCACGAGGTCAGGAGTTCAAGACCATCCTGGTTAACACGATGAAACCCCGTCTCTACTAAAAATACAAAAAATTACCCGGCGTGGTAGCGGGTGCCTGTAGTCCCAGCTACTCGAGAGGTTGAGGCAGGAGAAAAGCTCACCAGGAGGTTGCAGTAAGCCGAGATCGCGCCACTGCACTCCAGCCTGGGTGACAGAGCGAGATTTTGTCTTAAAAAAAAATATATATATATATATATACACACACACACACACACACACACACATATATATATAGAACACCTTTAAGATGATTTGTGTCTTACTTCTTTTTACTTATCCCATGATTGTCACAATAAAGGTTTGCTCACATCATAAGCAAATACCTAAATAGACATGCCTGATTTTCTTACAATTATGGAAGTGAATCTTACTTTGAAAAAAAATCATAAATGCCCCACATTTTTCAATGTGCTTTTGGACATTTCTTAATAACTATGTTTTTATAATATTATATATGTTAAGGCACTTACAATTTTAATGTGTAGTTATATGTAAAATCACATTGTATCGAGTAAGCATTATCAAATAATTCTTTATGATGAAATTAATTTATGAGTTTCTAATAAATACTACAGTATTGTTGGCCAGAAAGCACTAATGAAAATAAATTAAAGGTATTGTTTGTTACTTTAAAGGCTAGGAATTTCTAATATAAAGAAATGTAAGGAATAGTTCATAATTTAAGAACACAGCCACTTCAAATTGTAAAAAAGAATTATCTATTGTTAAAGCGAACTAAATATGGCCTGGGAAGGACTCTATACTTCTATACTTGAGTCCTTGTAGAGGAACCATAACCTAACTTAATAGGACAACAAGATTGAAAACCTAATTTAGGAGTATGTACGTGGAACAATCGCCAGTCCAGCAGCCATACTTCAGCCACTCACACACTGCTGCGTGTTCAAACTGTGTTCGAGTAAGGCAAACTTGTAACCAGTCCAGTTGTTTGTGTAACTCACTTCCGATTTCTGTACATCTTTTTCCTTTTTTTGTCTACAAATTTTCTTCCACGATGTGGCTGTGCTGGAGTCTCTCTGAATCTGCTGCGATTCTGGGAGCTGATTCACGCATCATTCATTGCTCAAGTAAACTCCTTTAAATTTAATTCAGCTGGCCGGGTGCGGTGGCTCACGCCTGTAATCCCAGCACTTTGGGAGTCTGAGGAGGGCAGATCACCTGAGGTCAGGAGTTCGAGACCAGCCTGACCAACATGGTGAAACTCCATCTCTACTAAAAATACAAAAATTAGCCAGGCGTGGTGGTGCGTGCCTGTAATCCCAGCTACTTGGGAGGCTGAGGCAGGAGAATCGCTTGAATCCGGGAGGTGGAGGTTGCAGTGAGCAGATATCGTGCCACTACACTCCAGCCTGGGCAACAAAAGCAAAACCCGTCTCAAAAAACCCAAAAGTTTAATTCTACTGAAGTTTTTCTGTTAACACTGTGTTATTATTTTATCTTTTGATGAAAGGCAAATGATATAAACAAGAACTTGGAATATTTGTGAATAATGTATAAATAAATAGTTTCTGTTTATTCTCTGTATTCTGTTAAAAGTTTTTGCTCTGCTCAATATATCTGGCCATAAAATTCTTTTAAATCCTGTATAATTTTAAAAGCAAATTTGATGCATGTGCAACTTATTTTATTTTATTTTTTTTGAGGCTGTTTGTTACAATGGAAATTGCCTTAACAAGTCTCATGTGGCACATGTGGTGCCCAGAGCATTCTGAAAGTTATGGTTTTGAAAGCAGTCGTTGTGGCGACATTGTCCTAATTAAAGTTCTCGGGCAGTTTTGCCGACATTCAAAACCATCTTCCATTTTTATCCTTTTGTGGTAATATTTATCATTTATAAAAAGGAATTCCAACACCTCTTTTCTATGTATAATCTCCCAACGTTCCTGGTCAAAGCAGTTTGCTCCCAAATTACCAGAAGTGGTCTCGTTGCGGCAGCAGAGCTCCCCTGGTGCACTTCTACTCACGGGTTTGTTGAACGTGTAGCTTTACCCACCTTGAGGCAGAACTGCATGTGCCCGTGTTGGCGCTGACGCATGATGTGTGGTGCACGGATGGAGCAAAGGTGAATATCTCCCCACAGCAGACCTCCGAGGTTCATAAATTATTTATCACATACTTCAGTGTGCTGCCACAGTGATCAGGGCCAGTTTCCAATATGGAGACAAGAGCTCTTTAATCACGCTCTTCCCTGCAAAAGAAAAAGATTGGCATTTAACAGAGAGCTGTAAGACAGGATAGGGATGTGACTGCAGGGAAACCTCCACTTGGAATAGGAGTCGCTGGTCAGTTCTAGACCCAATGGCATGGACTTATGTAGTAATAGTAGTAAGAGTTCCTGAAGATAGTTTCAATCTATTGCCAGCATTCTGTAGGTCTTTATAACAAGCAGGAAATGGATACACATGTCTCTGTTCCATAATTAGAAAAGTATCACCATTTTCCTGGGACAAAAATATGTAAGTTTAAACATTTTTAGTGCCAGGTCAGTAGTCACGATTTACCAACAGCATTTTTTATTTTAAAAATACAGTTAGTGACTACACCATTGGCTAACAAACTGAGACTTAAAGCATTCTCTAGATGCAAATGCTACAAATAAATCAAATTATTAGGCATATTCACTAATACTTACAAACTTAACTTCATATATAAAGCAAGGTAGATCACCAGTGTGGCCATGCAAACAGGGTTTGAGGACTTCAATATTTAAAGCAAGTTAGTCCAACCCACAGCCCAAGGGCCACATGCAGCCCAGGATGGCTTTGAATGAGGCCCAACACAAATTAGCAAATTACTAAACTTACTTAAAATGATGGGATTTTATTTTTTGCCATTTTTTGGTTTGTGTGTTTGGTTTTTAGCTCATCAGCTTTGTTAGTGTTAGTGTATTTTATGTGTGGCCCAAGACAATACTTCCAATGTGGCCCAGGGAAGCCAAAAGATTGGACACTCCTGATTTAAAGGGAAAAGGGAGGGCAGATGAAGAAAGAGGATAAAAAAAAGAGAGAGAAGGTAGACAAAACAGGAAAGTGGTTAGTCTTTGGAGGCTTTGATTAGCACTTACTGAATCTACATTTTACATGTGAAAGGAGTGGGTAGCGAAACAGTGAATTATGCATAGTGCTCAGTGCGTCTGCATTTTTGCATAAGATAAAGTAAACATAGAGGAGGTGCTCAAATATGCATTCCTCTCAGGTGAGCCAAGGGATGCCCTCTAGGCCTGTCTTTGTCAAGGTACCGGTGAAGATAAGCTGTTAGTTTACATTGTCAAGGTGAAATAGAACAGCGTTCTGTTTTAGGGTAAAGCTCTTGGGGCCCACGAGGAATTTCCTTGTGAGCAATTTGTGAAGGAGGCCACCGGGGGAGACATGTGGCCTTCTGTCTTTGCAGCTATCTACTTAGGAACAAAATGGAAGGCAGTTTTTGCATGATGCAGTTACTGAGCTTCACTTTTCCCTTTGGCATAGTGAGTTTGGGGTCCTGAGATTTTTATATTCCTTTCACAGCCTCACTATACTTGAATTAAAATACAATCTACATGTTAAAACTGACCACATCATTCTTTCCTGTGTGTCTTCAAAGGATTTAAGGCCCATCCAGATAATCCAAGATGATCTCATTTCAAAGCCTTAATTATATCTTTGATGACTCTTTTTCCAAATAAGGTCTCAATTAGAGGTTCCTGGAATAAGACACGGACTCATCTCCCTGGGGGCCACCATTCAGCCTGATCCGGAAGGAAGGCCATGATTTCAGCTCTCTGGGATTTGAGACAAAGAGGCCCCTTTTCTTTCATTTTATCTTTTCATGTCTCTTCTTGCCATGTACCCACATGATTGAGTGTGGGCTGAGGGTGAATCCAAGAAGGGCTTTGTTTTGTGGTCAGTACAGGCTTTGGTCCACAGAGACAACAATACTTTCAATACTCTTTTGTTCTGCCCCAGAGGAGCTCAACACAGAATTGCCTAGAACAAGAAACTGGGTAAGTGTGCTTGGAACATACGCTTGTCTTCTCTTCTTTGGACTCTTGATTGCAACACTCATCTCTGCCTGGATATTCACATGGACTTATACTCTCTGTCTTTTCTTCTGTGTGTCTTCTCTTCTGTATGTCACTGAATGTTGGGCCCACCTGGATAACCCAAGATGATCTCATCTTGAGGTACTTAATTATATCTGCAAATAACATTTTCCTAAATAAGGTCACAGGCATAGTTTTGGGGGACTGGGACATGGATATATCTTTTTGGAGACCATGATTTAACTCACTATAGGCTAAATTCTCAGCCCTAAAAGGGGTCCTACACAAAGTGAGGGCACTCAATGGAAAGAAGGGCTCTGAGATGTGAGATAGGAACATGTGAACAGAACCTTCAACCCACAGATTCCCCTGGACTATCAGGTCCAGGAGAAGAGACTCCTTCCTCTCTCAGGTTGAGACTCCCACGGCCTGGAGATTAGGCAAAGCCTCTGTTCGATCTTTGCATGAAATTAAGTAGTCTTAGTGGTCTATTGCAGGGGTCTCTATCTGTGATTGACCTTTACTTATTTCTTGCTTAATGTACTATCATTCTCTTTTTTTCTTGAATAAGGTAGTTTACATATTAAATTCTTCGCTAAAGATACAGCTCTTAAATTAAAAAATACTACTACTACTACCATTTTGCTTTAGTCAGTAAGTTCTGCCTTAATTTTCTGTCTATTTTATATATTTTGTCTATATTTTGTTGATATATTAAAGTTTTTTCTTGTTTTTATTAATATGATGATTTAAGGCTCTAGAATTTCTTCTGAGTGCAGATCTACCTGGGTCATACAGATGTTGTCATATGTGGTCAGTTCTTTTACAAATATTCTTCAACGTTTTTCTCTTTGGCCCTTAATGATATAAGAAAACTTCCAAAAACTGTATGTTTTTTAGTGTTTTGGAGTTTTATTGTTTATTTAATTTCACTGCATCTTAATCAAATAATTAAAAATGCTTTTTAGAAATTACTGAAGTTTTGTGGTCTGAAATATAGTCTTTTTTATGATCTGTGGAATCAAAAAAAAAAGCATTCTATATTTTTAAGGTGCCAAGTTTGTTATCTGTCAATTAGAGAAAACTATGTGATTTACATTTTTACATCATGACTTACTATTGCTCTCTTCAGCAGTCACAGCCTGATAGAGGTGATGTAATTTTCCCTGCTGTGCTCCTGTGTCTGTGTCTTTCCTTATGCATGCTCTACTTTTTTTTTTTTTTTTTTTTTTTTTTTTGAGACGGAATCTTGCTGTGTCGCGCAGGCTGGAGTGCAGTGGCGCGATCCTGGCTCACTGCGAGCTCTGCCTCCCAGGTTCATGCCATTTCCTGCCTCAGCCTCCGGAGTAGCTGGGACTACAGGCGCCCGCCACCATGCCTGGCTAATTTTTTTTATTTTTAGTAGAGACGGGCTTTCACCATGTTAGCCAGCATGGTCTTGATCTCCTGATCTCGTGATCCGCCCACCTCGGCCTCCCAAAGTTCTGGGATTACAGGCGTGAGCCACCGCGCCCGGCCTACTTTTTGTTTTAAGAACATTGATGCTCTGTTATTTAATCTCTAGAATTCATAACTGGCATATCTTCATTGTGAATCACACGCTTATTTTTTCTTTTCTGCTACTTTTTCTTACTTCTATGCTTTTTCTGCCCTGTGTTTTAAAGAGAAGAAAATCAGTGATGCCACACAAAACACTCCGTGGTAGTCAGATCACAGCGATGGTTTTAACATTTGTAGTGCTGACATTCTGTTCCCGTTCTTGTCTCTTTCACTGAGTTCTCCTACCATCAGGCAGGTTCCATGCTCGTCACCAGGCCCTGGCTGCAACTTTTCATACCCTATCAACATTTGGTTCACTGATGATTGTTGTTTGCTAGATTTTCCAAGCAGTTCCATATAAACAATGTTCCCATATCTTTGAACATTCAAAAATCAGTTTGTATTGCGTTTATACTTGATTGAAATAATAGTTGGTATAAAATTTCCGGGTTGCACTTTCTTGGTGCAAAATTTCACAGGTCTCAGCTCTTTCAGTATTGAATACTGCTACACACTGCCCTTGTGATTACAGATTCAAGCTGGCCATCAGACTTGCAAGACACAGACAGCTTTAATCTGATGCTACATTTACTGGGCTTTAAAGGAGGATACAGGCCGGGAGACACAGCTGGTGTCCTGGGGCACCCACAGCTCCCTTTGCCCTTTCACCTATCCAGGGCCTATGTGGCTGCCACAAACAAGAGTCAGGGTGCTTGCGGGCCACATGGATAATCAGAAGCCACCGCCTTGATTTCCCAACAATTTTTTATGCTATTTCTAGACACAAAGCTACAAGCCACATATTGATTCACAGCCCCCCTGTTCCAAGGGCAATGGAACATAGGTGATGAGGGAGACATTCCACATCTATTTCAAATCTGTAATTTCCAAGTGTGTCTGTTAGCTTCTGTTGATTAGGAAATTATCCCCAAATTTAGTCACTTCAAACAGCAACAGTTTGTTAACCTAAGGATCTGCTGAAGAGTTCCCATGGTCTGGGCTGGCTCTGGCTAATCTCGCCCAGGCTTGCTCACATGACTGCAGTGCCTTAGCAGGATGGCAGAGGGCGACTAGCCCGTCATAGCCTGCCTGTGGTCTGGTGGTTGGCCATTTGCCTCTGGCTCAGCGTGGCGATTGTTTCATTATTTTGCATTCTTTTGTTGTTGTTGTTTTTTGTTGTTTTTTTTTGTTTGTTTTTTGTTTTTCGTGTTTTTTTTGAGACAGGGTCTCTCTCTGTCACCCAGACTGGAGTGCAGTGACGTGATCTCAGCTTACAGCAACCTCTGCCTCTGAGGCTCAAGCAACTCTCCCGCCTCTGCCTCCCAGGTAGCTGGGATTACAGGCGAGCGCCACCACCGCCCAGCTAATTTTTGTATTTTTAGTAGAGATGGGTTTTCACCATGTTGGCCCGGGTGGTCTCGAACTCCTGACCTCAAATGATCCAGCCGCCTCGCCCTCCCAAAGTGCTGGGATTACAGGCGTGAGCCACTGCGCCTGCCTGTTGTTAATAGTGGTAAAATATTTGGTGCAGCTTCTCAGTGGCCACATTTTACAGTTTCGGATGCACTTTCTGGATCGGGCATGCATTTTCTGCTTGTGTAACTCTGCTTATTTTGCATTATTTTAAGGCATTTATAATTAATTCTGATTCCTCATTTTGGACTATGTTTTGTTTCTCCTGAACCGTCTCTTTCCTGTAGGTAGAGGGAAGCATTTCATGGAGGGCCAGGTCCCTGGCTAGGACAAGGTAGAGCCTCACAGTCATATTTGGTATCCAGCGGCCATTGCTCTGCCCCAGCCTGTCATCTGGCTGTGGTGGGTTTGGTGGCCCACGTCTAACTCTACCTCTGTTTCTAGACTGTGACCCGGGACCGGGGGAAATTAGTAGCAGCCCGTGCCTCCAGTGCCACTGTGGCGAGCCCTCTAGGACGGGCCTCTCACATTGGGCTTTATGGTGTCCGCGGCCTCAGTGTCAGTACTCTGCTCCTCCCCACAAGCAGCCCTGCTCAGTTTGCCCTGGGCTGGCAGGCTTTTTCTCTGTGTTGAGGTTTGGCATTTCACCTCACTCCTGTTTTCATTAAAAGTAGACTTTTCCTTTCTATTTCAAGTTCTGTGGATGATTTTGGGAGAATGTTTTCTTTATATCATCTGCAAATACGCTTCCTCATTTCCCACCTCGACTTTCCATCTTCCACTTTCAATCTTTTCTTTTTTTGGAAGGAGGGTGGGGTATTGTCAGAGTTGTATTTTCCAAGAGCCCTTTCAATTTCTCCATTTTTGCCCTTTATCACTGTGTGTGTGTGTGAGAGAAAGAGACATACAGCATACATATAGAAAGATGTGCAAAATGTAAATGTATATTTAACAAGTGGTTATAAAGCCATATAATATGCAACAACCACACAGGTAAAGAAATAAAGTCTTACCAAAACCTAGCAGTCTCCCAGGTGTCCCTCTCCAGTCACCACACTCTTCCTCATGCCCCTACCCCAGTACCCCCAGGAGTCAAACACTTTTCTGCCTTTAGTGTCATCATGTCTTAGCTGTGTTTATAATTTTACCACCTATATATGCATTACGAAAGAGCTGCTTCTCCTTGCTATCTTTTTCTTGCTGTAGGTCTTGTATCTTCAAAGATACTTAGAAATAGGGTTCCGAATATAACTTTTTCTGTTTCTGCACTCTCTCTCTTCTTTTGTGTTTCCTTTAATCTGTCAGACTGATTTTGTTCCACTCACATGAAAACTCTGTCCCCAGTGCCTCCTGATCCTTGCCTCTGCATTCATGACTAAGTGTGATGCACTGGGAGATGACTGGGAGTCCGTAGGGAGTGGGCGTATTGGCCAGTGGTCCTTGCCTCTGCATTCATGACTAAGTGTGATGCACTGGGAGATGACTGGGAGTCCGTAGGGAGTGGGCGTATTGGCCAGTGGTCCTTGTCTCTGCATTCATGACTAAGTGTGATGCACTGGGAGATGACTGGGAGTCCGTAGGGAGTGGGTGTATTGGCCAGTGGTCCTTGGCTCTGCATTCATGACTAAGTGTGATGCACTGGGAGATGACTGGGAGTCCGTAGGGAGTGGGTGTATTGGCCAGTGGTCCTTGGCTCTGCATTCATGACTAAGTGTGATGCACTGGGAGATGATTGGGAGTCCGTATGGGATGGCGTATTGGCCAGTGGTCCCCTTAACAGAGCGGACCTTTGTTGTTGGGCATCACCTGACCCCAGTGTCTAAAGGAGAATTTCCTCCTTGGAGATAACGTCTGACCGCAGCCTTCTGGGAGCCACGGGAACGGTCTTGTGTGCCTGCAATTAGAACACACGTAATCACTTTATTTCTGAATTTAAGCCTCACCCAGTCCCCCATGGTTGCTTATTTGCTGACTCCTAGCTAGGAAACTTTCTGAGATTCTCTGAGTGAATCACATTTGTTTTCTTCGTAGGTTGTGGCTTTCTTTATTGTACTAAATCAATGCCTACTAGTCTGTTAAATGTCAAAGAAATATTAAACTTTTTATATTCTAATACTACTCCCATTCTTTTGTCCTAGTGGGCTTAAGGATGTTTTAATTTATTTTGCTGTCCTCGTAGTTGATTTTCTTTCTTCTTTCTTTTTTTTTTGAGACAGAGTCTTGCTCTGTCCCCCAGGCTGGAGTGCAATGGTGCGATCTCAGCTCACTGCAACCTCCACCTCCTGGGTTCAAGTGATTCTCCCGCCTCAGCCTCCTGAGCAGCTGGGACTACAGGCACCCGCCACCATGCCTGGCTAATTTTTGTATTTTTAGTAGAGACGGGGTTTCACCATCTTGGCCGGGCTGGTCTCGAACTCCTGACCTCAGGTGATCTGTCCGCCTCGGCCTCCCAAAGTGTTGGGATTACAGGCGTGAGCCACCACGCCCGGCCTTAGTTGATTTTCTTAAGGCAGAGCAGATAACATTTGTGCTTACACTACCACATTTAACCAACATTTCAATCAGGGATAGTTTAAATAAAACTTTATATAAGAGTTTCCCATTTCCTCCATTCTCTTTCTAGAAGTTTTTTTTCTTTTTTTTTTTTAGTATTGTTATTACTTGTAACTGTCTGTGTGAGTGCAGAGATATAATATTAAAATTTATCAAATTTCAGGGTAGTGATATTAATCATTTATTTTAGTAGCAAAATTAAATGTTAACATTCAACTGTAAGATTGGAAGATTTAACTGTCTTTTCCCCCATTGAATTAATACAGAACAAAAATTTATATTTCTGATACAGACAGGAGACAGGGAAATACTGGGTAGAAGATGATGGTGCCCTGACAAAGGCTCTGCCTTCAAGCCTGGAAGCCCATGGCTCTAAGTGGCAACAGGCATTCCTGTTTTCCTGCCCAAAAGTTGCCTTTTCACCTGCCATGCCCCACTATCCTGTACCCATATAAACCCCAATCCCCAGGCTCCAGAAGCAGGCAAGGAAGTAACAAACAGAAGAGTAGAAGAATAGCAGAATGGTGTGGCAGAGAGAAGAGAAGGAACATCTGAACATCGAGAGGAGTTCAGCTAGGGATGGTTGGAGAGGAGATTGGCTGCTGGATGGCCAAACTCCAGGGGAAGATCATCTTCCCACTCCATCCACCTTCCAGCTCCCCATCCATCCCACTGAAAGCCACCTCCACCACTCAATAAAACCCCCGCATTCATCCTTCAAGTCTGTGTGAAATCTGATTCTTCCTGGATTCTGGACAAGGACCTGGGTACTGAGAGGGCACTGAGCTGGTTAACACTTAAGCCATCTGCAAACAGCAAAGCTAAAAGAGTGCACTGTAACACACGTCCACTTGGGCTTTGGGAGTTGCAGGCACCCACCCTTAGATGCTACCATGGGGCCAGAGCCCAAAACACACTCAGCCTGGCTCCTGCACCTGCCTGTGTGCCCCCCTCCCATAAGGGGTTTGAGTGTGCAGTGGCAGAACATACGAGCCACACCCCTGTCGCATGTCCTGTGAGGGGGGTCAGGGAACTCTACCGTTTCATTTCCACTGGTTGATATGAGATTTTGCAAATGATACACTGTAGATCAGATACTCTCAAAGAAAAAAAAAGGCTACAAAGTTGTAGTGTTCAATTACCTTATTCATGAATACTTTTTTCCTAACCTAATTAACTCAATATCTTGGCATCACTAGGACTTTGAGCTTTACCCAATACGGGTTTCTTTCTTCCCGAAGCGTTTGTTTTACTGCCCCATTTTATTGCTTTCAATTAATGAAATCTGATTCTAAAACCAAGAGTTCCTGAGGTGTTAGCCACCACCACTATCCTCCCTGCTGTCACCTTCATTCTATCTGTTCCACCTATCTTTTGAGGACATCTAGAGTTGAGGTTATTAACCTTATATCATGTTCCCTTCTCCCCCCATTTGTACTCATTTTGTTTAGTGTGGGTAATTCAAATGTAAATTGTTTTGGTCACAAACCCCAACTGCTTGCTCACAGAATAGCCTGCAATCTGCCTTTTGCAATGATCACTCCTTCCTGGAGGGTACGTTGGCATCATTGAGTCTGATGGCACCTGCTTCTGCCATGTTAGAACACTGCCTGCAGCCCTAGGATCTGGACTTCAGTCAGACCAGCAACATATTCGCTTTTTTCTCTTCTTTGTTTGCCTATTTCTCTGTCTTCTAATTGTTTTAAAGGTGAAGGAGAGTAGTAGTACAGAAATAATAATAACACAAAATTAAAATTAAATTAAAATGTAAAAAATAAGTACAGAATTAATTTTTCTCTGGCTTGATTTTAAAATGTTAGTTCCAAGTGCTTTAGGTTGGAGATGTTTCCGACCCGAGCATGTCTTCCCCCACGTAAGCATCCCTTCACACATTCTTTGAAATCAGCTGCTCTGATCCTAAATGTAGGCCTCACGTCTCACCAGCTGTATAATCTTGGGAAAGTAGGAAACTCACTTTACTTCTTTATTTCTGGGACAGGGATCCTATCTCCAAGAGTTGTTGAAAGGATTAAATGATACAGTGCACTTAATGTTCCTGGTAGATAAGAAGTGCTCTATAAGTAGTGACCATTTTTATCATCTGTGTAGATGTTAAAGTTTGCCAGGATATTCTAGGATTATATACTCTGCAATTCCGTGCTGCTTTCATACGTTTGCTCTGATAAAACTTCCCTAGGACACTGAGAAAAGATTTTTCAGGGCTGACTAAGCCCTGCTTAAATATTTTCCAGCTGTTCTGGTTCTTAAGAAAGAAAAAAAAAATAGATTCTTAAAAGAGAATTAACTCATTTATTCTTACTCTTTATTCTCTGTGTCTGAGGGGAGACCCTACCAACCTCCCATCTATGACTCCCAGTAATCACAGGATACATCATTGTCTGGGAAGAGAGGGAGAGGGCCACAGGCTTGGCAAAGTCCGAACTTCCGGTCTTCCTGCTTTCCAATATCCCCAGGCTTCTGGCCTTGTACACGGTTAACGTGTTTCAGCTAGTGCTGAGTGTTGCATTCTGCCCCTTCAACCAGATCACTTCCGCTGAAAGTTTGCATCTCCCAGTATCAGTGTTGGGGAAGCCAAATGAAATCTATCAATCCCAGTTCAGAATGTAAAGAAACTGAAGATCCTCTTTCCCCATATGGATTATTATATCATCATAGCATTTGGAGAAGCCAAGATCAACAAAAAAGCAGTTAGCAGGTATGCATGTGTGTGTGCTATTTGAACATTACACATAGTAATTTTTCAGAAAAGATTCTCATCTCTGAAAAACTTTTCCTCCCTCAAGACAAAAAGAAGTATAGCTCATTTCATTTTAGGATATAATCTGTCTTTGGGCTTCAGCATTTTAAAATTAGACATATCTTTGATAGAATATTCTTTCAATTGTTAATTTCTCCAAGAAAGTTCAGCTCTCTGGAATCAGATTGAGATTTTTTGTTAAATCCTTATATTTGTCTTCAGTGCATTCATGTTTTAAAACAATACATTGAAAATTTGGAAGTGTTTTTACTTCAAATAACTACATTGTCTTTTTCTAAAATGAGAAGTTGCAGTGTTCCATGTTCTGATTTGATATTTTTCCTGATTTCTGTTAGTAGTCTTGGATGTTTTCTGTACTTGTATTTGGAGTATGCACACTTGTCTGAGACAGTTCTATTTCTCACAGTCTTCACTGTGCCACATATTTGCTTCCCTGTCATCTTCAAAAGAGTGGGCTAAGGCCAGGCGCGGTGGCTCACACCTGTAATGCTGACACTTTGGGAGGCCGAGGCGGGTGGATCACGAGGTCAGGAGATGGAGACCATCCTGGCTAACAAGGCGAAATGCTGTCTTTACTAAAAATACAAAAAATTAGCCGGGCATGGTGGTGTGCATCTGTAGTCCCAGCTACCCGGGAGGCTGAGGCAGGAGAATCACTTGAACCCGGGAGGCGAAAAGTTGCAGTGAGCCAAGATCGCGCCACTGCACTCCAGCCTGGGTAACAGAGCGAGAGACTCCATGAAAAAAAAAGAATGGGCTAGAGCTTGGCTACACTGCGAGATTTATTGTCTTTGAACTGCCACTTATTCTGAGCTGCTCACTTCCATTAATCAGCCTGACTTACCGACTCTGGAATTGTGTGCTCATATCAGACAGGTTGTGGCTAAAGTCCATCCATTACATTTCTAGGCCCTCACTTCTCTGTACAACCCCAGTTCAGTCATGCTGGCAAATATGTGGGGAGCGCTCAGCCCTGAGGAGTTCCATAAGGGAAAGTTCCACATGGGCTTGGATTATATACCTAATAACTCAGAGCAAATTTGTGAAAGCTTCACATGTCATTTACAATTTGTAGGCACTGCAGAACTGTAGATTCTAAAGAGAGAAGGCTATGCCTTCTGATGATAGTCTTAAATCATGGAAAGCTAAAACAATAAACACCTCAAATTCAGTGTATCTTTGCCTTGGAAAAAGGGTTAGACTTCATGGTTGCAATTCACCTCACTCGCCTGTGGTTCATTGATTCTGACATCTAATTAAATTGATCATCTACAGTGATCACAAGGCGATTGTTTGCCAAACACTACTGGCAAAGAAAACTTAGCTCATACTTGTAATTTACTTTAAGGTTTCTATCCGGAATTGGGAACAAATAAGAAATTGGTTTTGACTAGGAAATTGTACACAATTGTAATCATAATTTGGACTGGAATAATAACCACTGTGCATTTGCTTGTTTCTGACTTTGTTAGTCTTCATAATATTCCTTTCAGGAGGTTGGCTATATTTATAGTTAACTGAATTTTGCCAATGTTTTCTTTCCACAAAGCTTGTTGTATTTAATTGTCTTTAAGAAAAGAAACGAAAAGTATCTGTCAACTTTCAAGAAATAAAATGTTTTTGTTAAAAATCAATATTTATTAAAGCGAATGTCTTTTGAAAATTCAAGCAATATATAATTTGCAAACATTTGATTAAAATAGTTTCAGTAATATATTTTTAGCTTGAATGGGTCAAGATAATAAATCAATATTTTCTCTCAAATTCTGATAACGTGTAAAAAAGTTCTTTGAAACAATAATAAAACTTAAGAAAAAGCAGTCAGTAAAGCTACTGATGATTCTTTATTTCCTTTTATGAGATAATCAGTCTTTTGACTTCAGCATTTTAAAATTAAAAATACCTTTGATAGAATATTCCTTTCACTGTTAATTTCTCCAAGAAAGTTCTGCTCTTTGGAATTAGATTAACTAATGATATTTTTTGTTAAATCCTTATATTTGTCTTCAGTACATCCTAGTAGACTTGTTTAGATAGCAGACCCAAGAGTTAAATTCAAATAATTAGCAGGAATGGAAAATAGAGGATTCTAATTTTTCTTAAGAAAATGCTTTCTTATCATTGGCAAAAGAATGAGTTTATTCACAGACATTTTTATTCCATTATTCTGTGAGTAAAGAAAGGAAGAGGAGGCATGTTGAGGTTTTCTTTTCCTAATGATGTTACATTAATTATTGTAGCCAAGATACGCTTTTGAATACGATACAAAAACATACCTACAATAATGATCATAAAAATATTCCTTTTTCCATCGCTGAAAATTGCCTTTATTTGACAGGATGATCTTCTATGCATCTCATCCGACTGTCTGTATTTCCCTTCTGCTTTGGTGGAGTGGGGTGAGAGAGAGAGAGAGAGAGAGAGAGAGAGAGGGAGGGAGGGAGGGAGGGAGAGGGAGAGAGAGACAAGGCGGAAGCAGAGCCTTTGCGGGTAGAGCAGATAAAGATTCCCAGACAAATTTCATGGGTGAAGTGGCCAATTTACTTCTTTTATAGCTGAATGTCATTTTTTTTGTGGATTTTTCCATCAAGTAGTGAAAACTCACATATTAATAATATTCAGAGTCTCCTCTGGCCATTTAAGCACCCTCTTTGTCCAGAGTCAAGTCAGATTCTTGGCGGCCCTCCTGGCGCCACGTGTGTGAGGTGGGGGGAGGTTTCTCACCCTTGGCGATCCTCTCCTCCGCACAGGGGCGTCTGTGGGGGTGTCCGCCATTTTGTTTGGTCTCAGCTGCCAGTTCCCAGAGGAACCCTCTCTTCTGGCCACACGCCCGCTTGATGGTCACAGGCCTCCGTCAGCGGCTTCTCCATCCCTCTCTGGCAAGCTGAAGTACGTGACGACTTCCCTGGCCCTCTAGGGTTCTCAGGCCGTCAGGTACGGGTCTCTGTCAATCTGGCACCTGACAGCTGAGACAAACGAAAAAGACGCTCCGCTCGCTGATTCCTGGGCCGCGCGGGGTCACGGGGCGCTGCGGCTTTCCTGGAATCTCCTCAGGATTCAGGCACACCCTGTGCTCTCAGGTTCACTAAACCCGTCTGGGGTTTCTACACACGACCTGAAGGCATCTCCGCCCTTTGGCGGCAGATAGAGGAATAGAAACGACTGAGGAGACATGAAGCAGGGAGGAAAAGCTGGATGAGAGGAAGCACAGGGAGTGGAAGGCAACGTCCAGGAGACACGGCTCCTGATGCCCTTTCGTCTCGGTGGGCTCTCTGTGGCGAACCGTTGTCTGCTTGAGAGGAAAAGGGAAGTCATATTTGGTGCCATCCTCTGGACTCCAGATGTTTTTGTGCCTGGCCATAATTATATATATATGCGCATATATATATATATTTGCATATATATATATTTGCATATATATATATATTTTGTTTGTTTGTTTGTTTTTGGAGACAGAATCTCACTCTGTGCCCAGGCTGGAGTGAAGTGGCGCGATCTGGGCTCACTGCAAGCCCCGCCTTCCGGCTTCCCGCCATTCTCCTGCCTCAGCCTCGCGAGTAGCTGGGACGACAGGCGCCGCCACCAGGCTTAGCTGTCAAATTAGCTATTTTTAAGGTAATCGATTCTGAAAGGCAAGTCAGAATGTATAAAGCTCAAATGAACTTCTCTATGTTACACACTGTTTCTGTACCATTCAGTCTTGACTCCACTCTTCCTGCCGCCCTCAGTCTAGTTGCAGTCCAGGTGCCCTGTTTTCAGTTCCTAAACCACACCATGTCATCTCTAGCATCAAGCATTTTTCTCTACAGCATTTTTCCTTCCTACCTACAACCCATACTTTATATAGTTAACTTCTATTCCTCATTTTTATCTTCATTTCGAGTAACAGACTTGGGAAAATCTTCCATAAATTCGTAAGTTTAAGTGGAGAAGCCCTTATGTGTGTGTCCACAGTATCCCATAGCGCTTGGTACTGTGTTACCATAACACACACCACTGCCTTGTCATTGTCTATTTACCACCAGACTAAGTCCAAGAGGCTTCTTTTTTGTTTTGTTTTGTTTTGTGTTTGTTTGTTTGAGATGGAGTCTTACACTGTCGCCTGGGCTGGAGTGCAATAGCGTGACCTTGGCTCACTGCAACCTCCACCTCCTGAGTTCACGCGATTCTCCTACCTCAGCCTCCCGAGTAGCTGGGATTACAGGTGCGCATTACCACGCCCGGCTAATTTTTTGTATTTTTAGTAGAGATGGGGTTTCACTATGTTGGCCAGACTGGTCTCAAACTCCTGACCTTGTGATCCGCCCACCTCAGCCTCCTAAAGTGCTGGGATTACAGGTGTGAGCCACCGCGCCCAGCCCCAAGAGGCTTCTTGTAGGTCTTGTCTGTTGTTCTATTCTAGTGCCTTGCACAGTGCTTGAAATATGGAAGAATCTGTAAAAAATCATATTGAGTACAGTTGGCTCTCTGGATCCGTGGGCTCCACATCCTTGGATTCAACCAACTGTAGATTGAAAATATTCAAAAATTAAAAAAAAATCGCATCTGTACTGAGCAGGTACAGACTTTTTTCTTGTCATTATTCCTTAAACGAAACCGTATAACAACTATTCACATAGCATTTACATTGTATTAGGTATTCTAAGTAATCTAGAGATGATTAAAGAAAAAGCGAGGATGTGTGTAGCTTATATGAAATAGTGTGCCTTGTTATATCAGGGACTTGAGCATCTGTAGATTTTGGTGTCTTTGGGGGTCCTAGAGCCACTCCCCTGCGGATACGGAGGGATGAGTGTATGGAGGTGGTAAATGACTTGCTCCAGGTCACATTAGTGAGTGAAAGAGCAAGGGATGTGCTCTCGGCCATTCAGTTCTAGAATCTGTGCATTTAACCACGATGCATATAGCCAGACACAGAGCTGTTATTCCAAAACACTGAGAATTAGTAACAAGGGCTCTTTAAACTATTGGATCTAAACTAATTTCAACTAGATTAAATCTACTTCATTACTTTTTACAAATGTTGTTTCCTGGGTGGGGCCTTTTGGAATGATGAAGTTAATTATGAAATAAAAATGGAAAAATGAATTTCATCCAAAATACATTTTCTGCAGATTTAAATGTCTGTGTATATTACATATACACGCATCTGTATCTATGCATGTCTTTACATAGATATATCCATAAATGTATATGTTATATACAGCGTATTAGGGATAGTTCTCCAGAGACAGAACACACGCACATATATACACACACACACACCCACACCCTGGCGCACACACACACATCCACACACACATATATGTGCACACATACACACACACACACACACCCCGCCAAGCACCTCGTAACAATGTTTAACAGAAGACCACATAGACAATGGTGGTACCATGACATGAGATTCTAGTGGAGCTGGAAAATTCCTATTGCCTGGTGATGCTGTGGCCAGAATAAAGTCATAGTGCAGCGCATTACTCACATGTTTGTGGTGATGCTGGTGTAAACAAATCGTGCTGCCGGTCATATAAAAGTATAGCACAGCCCAGGCACGGTGGTTCATGCCAGTAATCCCAGCCCTTTGGGAGGCCGAGGTTAGTGGATCACCTGAGGTCAGGAGTTTGAGACTAGCCTGGCCAACATAATGAAACCCCGTCTCTACTAAAAATACAAAAATTCGCCGGGCATGGTGGTGCGTGCCTATAGTCCCAGCTACTCTGGAGGCTGCAGCAGGAGAATTGCTTGAACCCAGGAGGCGGAGGTTGCAATGAGCCAAGATCGTGCCATTGTACTCCAGCTTGGGCAATAGAGCTAGACTCCATCTGAAAAAAAAAAAATATAGCACATGTAATTATGTACAGTACATATTTGACAATAATAATAAATGACTGTTACCTGTTTATGTGTTTACTATATCGTATGTTTTATCATTATGGTAGAGTGTATTTCTACTTACAAAAACAGTGAACTGTAAAGCAGCCTCAGGTACCTCCTTAAGGAGCTCTTCCAGAAGGCATTGCTATCACAGGAGATGACAGCTTCATGTGTGTTTGGCCCCTGAAGCCCTTCCCGTGGGACAAGATGGAGGTGGAAGACAGTGATATTCATGATGCTGACCCCCGTGTAGGCCTAGGCTAATGTGTGTTTGTGTATTAGTTTAAAAAACTAAAAATTAATAAACATAGAGGAAAACTTATAGAGATATAAAGAAAATATTTTTCTGCAGCTGTACAATATGCCTATGTTTCAAGCTAAGTGTTATTACAAAATAGTCAAAAGGTTAAAACAGTCAAAAGGTTAAAATTAAAAGTTTATGAAGTGAAAATGTTACATCAGCCAACTTTAATTTATTAAGGAAGGAAGAGCGTTTCTTTTTTAATGATGTAGTGTAGCCTCTAAGTAGTTTTCATGAAGTTTGCAGTTGTTACCCAGACCTTCATAGGCGCTCACTACTCACTCAGTGACTTACCCAGAGTAGCTTCCAGTCCTTCAAGCTCTATTCATGTGAAGTGAACTACACAGGTATACCAGTTTTTATATTTTATACCATAATTTTACCGTCCCTTTTCTATGTTTGGGTACACAAATACCATTGTGTTTCCGTTGCCTGCAGTATTCAGCACAGTAACCTCCTGTACAAGTTTGCAGCCTAGAACAATAGGCTCTACTGTCTAGTCCAGGTGTGTAGGAGGCTGTGCCAACTAGATGTGTGTAAATGCACTCTAGAATGTTCACACAAAGGCAAAATTGCCTAACAACGCATTTCTCAGAATGTATCCCCCCTTGTTAAGTGACACATGACTCCATGTATATATACAAAGAGAGACATAGAGAGAGAGAGAGCGTGCACACACAAGAATGACAGGGAGAGAGAGATTTATTATAGGATTATTATGGGAATTGGCTCCCATAATTCTAAAGACTGAGAAGTCCCATGATCTGCTGAAGAACTAGGAAAGCCGATGGTATAATTAGGTCTGAGTCCAAAGGCCCACAAATTAGGACCACCACACTAGCTGGCTGTGGTGTCAGTATCTGTCATCCCACCGATTTGGGGGGCTGAAGTGGGAGGATCACTTGAGCCAGGAGTTTGAGACCAGCCTGAGCAACATAGAGAGACCCCAGCTCTAAAACAGAAAAAAGAAAATCAGGAGCACCAGTGCTCCAGGGCAGGAGAAGATGGATGTCCTAGGTCAAACAGAGAGAAAATTCTCCCTTTCTCTGTGTTTTTGCTCTATTTGGGCCCTCAGTGGATTGGATGGGAGTGCCCAGCTGCTTAGTGAAGGTGATTTCCTTTACTCGGTATACTAAGTCAAATGCTAATCTTTTCTGGGAACACATTCACAGACACACGCAAAAAGTATGATTTCCCAGTTTTCTAGGCATCCTTTAGCCCAGTTAAGTGGGCACGTAAAGCTAAACATCATATACATGTATGTATGAATATATACATGTTCCTTACCCTGGATTTCTCTTTCCCTGTCACTCTTATAATTTGTGTATTTATTTGGGGAAAGAATAGTTATCAAGAATTTCTAGAGGAAGCCAACTGTCTACATAAGCTTCAGAGTTACAACGCCTAACTCTATCCAATCTAAGTTAAATTTAAGAATGAATGTTGAGTACATCTGGTTTGTATATGGTGTTTTGGCAGAGCTCAATTTAATTCATCTCAAAAAGCATCCAGTGAGCACATACCAAATAATGGCCTCATTTCAGGCTTTGGGCTGTATAAATAACATACATCCCAATGTGGGGAAACCAGACAATAAACACAATAATTTACAGAGAATTTAAAGGAGGATGAGTGTCATGAGAAGAAAATAGTAAAAGGTAAGGAGGAGAGGAACTACATCGTTTGGGATTGCAATTTTAAACAGAGTCAAAACTTGAAATAATTTTAGTATGTTGCAAATATATCTAAAATACGTAGGACGTCTTGCATGGTCACGTAAGTCTAGAATTCGAAAAATAGCTAGAGAATAAACTGAAAATTCAAAATTAATATATTAGAAAAATTTTGGAACTTTTATATTATAGCAAGGTAATTAAAATATTTTCATAAATGTACCTTTATTTTGTTATCAGGAATTAGGCAAAGGCTGTTGAAATATTCGCAAATACAACCCAGCTCTAGAAATCAGGAAGTGGTGCTCTACGGATATGCAGGAGGGAGTGCTGAAAGAACAGCTCATGAGGTAGTGCAGGCAGAGGCAGGTTGATGGCAGCAGTGACTCCAATTTGCTCTCACTCTGTGTCTCCATTCACTTTGGTAGTGCAGGCAGAGGCAGGTTGATGGCAGCAGTGACTCCAATTTGCTCTCACTCTCTGCCTTCATTCACTTTGGTAGTGTCCTCTTACACAGACGCTGGGATTGGAAACCAGATTGCTTTGACAAATGGGAAATTAGCAAATATGAGATGTGCAGCAACTTGAGAAGTGCTCATGTGCTGAGGCATGTTTATTGATACACTTAGAGACCCGAGACCACTATGCAAATATGCGCCCACCAGCCCTCTGGAGGATGAGATGATTGCCTCCAACAACTGAGCCAAGCATGGTTTTATTTTTGTTTTTGTTTCCGTTTTGGTTTTCAGATGGAGTCTCACTTTTTTGCCCAGGCTGGAGTGCAGTGGTGTGATCGCAGCTCAATGCAACCTCTGCTTCCCAGGTTCAAGCAATTCTTCTGTCTCAGCCTCCTGAGTAGCTGGGACTACAGGAGTGTGCCACCATGCCCGGCTAATTTTTGTATTTTTAGTAGAGATGGGGTTTCACCATGTTAGTCAGGCTGGTCTCGAACTCCTGACCTCAGGTGATCCACTCACTTCGTCCTCCCAAAGTGCTGGGATTACAAGCGTGAGCCACTGCGCCCAACCCTGAGCCAACCATGGTTTAACCACCAGTGATCTGAGTGGCCAGGTGGTCTCTGATGATCCACAAGCTGACCAAGGTTATCACAGATGCTCACATAAGTCTAGCCCAGACCAGAACTTCCAAGCAGAGTGCAGCTGAAATTGCTTTCATAGAATGAGCTAATAAATGGTCGTCATGTTAAACCAGTAAGGTTAAGTGGTTTGTTACACAGCAAAAGCTAACTGACACAGTGCATTTAACTACTTCAATTCTGATAGCCCATCACAGAATATTTTAGCTAAGAACTACATCTAATTTATAGTCCTTTATATTTTTTTCTGTTGGAAGCATTTCATAGAGACAAACTAGTTGCTATTTAAGTAAAATAATGCACCATTATGCATACGTTTTTGTTACCTATGTAGACAATGAGAAAATAGAATTGTTTTAAATTCCTAGGGACACTTATAAGTTCTAGGTTGACATTTATCAAATTTTCATTATTATGTCTAAGCACAGTCTTTCCCTACTACCTCCCAAATAAAGAGTTACCTGCTAGGCGCACATCTATCCCACGAATTTGTCAGCTCAAAGGAACAAGGCCAGCAGTTATGCTTGATTATACAGAATAAATAGAGTATGAAAATTGAAATTAGACACACTTACTATAAAATGTGATGATTATTTCCATTCCAGGACCAAATTGAATTAAAAAAAACTTATTGATCTGGATTGAATTTCAATTTGCTAAGATTTGAGCAAGCCAACTTCTGCCCAGTAATGTTTGAATAGAAAGGCTTATGAGGCCAATAGTCTGTTCATCACAGGTGATAAAGTTTTTTTTTAAAGTCAATAAATTACTTTTTACTACAGGAGAAACGTATGCTTTATATGCCAACAAAGAGTTGAAATGCCAGAAGCACTTGAGGACTAAATTACGGAGCACTTATTTCATCACAACAGAACGCTAACGCGGGTGCTTGATTACAACAAGCCATCCAATTGCATGAATTTGGGCTGCAAGGCACCCAGGCTTTTATATTCATTAGCAAAGTTATTGATTCTGGAAAGTTACCTCTAATAAAACTACACCATTTTCTCAGGCCTGTTATATGGGCGCAGACAAATTATTTGATCAACGATATTGAGCAAAAGGAAAAGCATTCATTGTCTCTAATCTCTTTTCCCTCCTCCCAGAATTGTACATGGCGATCATCAGCAGTATGAAGAGGAGCTGTGGGGCCAGGTCTGATTTGGTTTTATATAGCTATATAAATATTTGATAATTAAATCACATTGTTTCAATAAGAATATTAAATAAAAGCTAAAGTTAAAAATGACAAAATAGGCCGGGTGTGTTGGCTTACGCCTGTAATCCCAGCACTTTGGGAGGCCGAGATGGGTGGATCACTTGAGGTCAGGAGTTTGAGACCAGCCTGACCAATATGGTGAGACCCCATCTCTACTAAAAAATACAAAAGTTATTCGGGCATGGTGGCAGGCATCTGTAATCCTGGCTACTTGGGAGGCTGAGGCAGGAGAATCACTTGAACCCAGGAGGTTGAGGTTGTAGTGAGCCTAGACTGCACCATTGCACTTCAGCCTGGTCAATAAAAGCAAAACTCCATCTCAAAAAAAATGACAAAATAGTATAATATTATATTCATAAAAATAATTTTACATTTACACAAAGGTGTAATTCACTGTACATTAGCTTCAACAAAACATCCATAAGTTATTCAATTCCCAGTTATCGGCTGCTTGAACTTTTATGCCCTTTAGCTCCATCTGTTAAAGAACGCATACCTCCATAGAGCTCCCATAAAATAGTTTTTAATTAATTTAATCAAAGAATATTGTTCCAAGAATATAGTTAATACACTGAATGGAATTTTTATAAATAAAATTAATAAAGATGGAAATGTGTTACTTAAAAAATAAGATTCTAGCTATTCTATCATTGTTTGTGTTTCCATTTAAATATTAGAATCACCTTGCCAAATTCCACACAAAAATCCTGCTGATATTTTGATTGGAATTGCATTGAATCTATTGCATTAATTTGGGGAAAATTAATATTTAAAAATAGTGAGTTTTCCAATCCAATCACAAAGTATACCTTACCATTTATTAGAAATTTAATTTTCTCAGCAATGTTTTAGTTTTCAGTGTGGACATTTTCCACCTATTTTCTTAAATTTATCTCTAAATATGACATATTCTTTATGTTCTTATATAAATATTTAAAGTTCACATTCATAAGAAAATTCAAACCACCAACTGGGAGACATTATTTGTAAAATATATGTCTGACAAAGAACTTGTATCCAAAAGGTATAAATAATTTTTGCAATTAAATAATAACAATATAAAGAAAAATTGCAAATATGGAAAAGATTGAGATACATTTGAAAATAGAAAATACATGACCCACAAGCAGATTAAAAGCTGCTCAACACCATCAGTTATCAGGAAAATGCAAATTAAAATCACAGCAATTTATCCATTCACACACTAAAATGATTACAATTTAAAACCCAATAGTAATAAGATTTGGCAAAAATATGGGGCAACAAAACTTCTCATATACTGCTGAACAGCTTTATAAAACGGTGCGACCACTTAGGAGAATTGTTTGGCAGTTTCTTAGGCTTAGATATTTGTGCCAAAGAATTGAAACCTGGTTCACAAAAATACTTGCCTAGAAATGGTCACAGCAGCTTGATTCATCATAGCCCCAGAAGAGAGACAACCCAAATGTCCATCACATCACAGACATGGGAAAATGAATCAACAACATAGATCTCATGTTAGTCTCTTCTAAGTGGACAGGTTTTTATTTTCCAATCCAGTAAGACAAATTCTCTAGAAAACGGCATAGTACCCACCTCACAAGTTCACTGTGAGCATTAAATGAATTGGTTTATTTAACACATGTCAAACATTGTCTGGAAAATTCAGAGCACTATATATTCAGAGCACTATGTATATGAGTCTTGGTTATGAGTATTACTGAAACTTCTATGTGCCTTGCTTTTCCTGTATTTCTTGTCACCTCATTCCCCTTCCTCATGGCTCCTTTTGAAGATAGTATTTAATTTACATCTCCATTACTGTTTGGAAGCTATGTCCTTTGTTATACTATTTTAATAGTCACCCTTAAAATTTGAATGTGTGTATAAAACGTAAGTCCTAAAGTTAATCAGTGTCTTTACTTTCTTCACCCTCAGATTCAAGGACCTAAGAATGATTTATTTCTCATCATTCCTTTCAAATCACACTTGCAGTTGTATTTTTAAAATTTCTGCCTTGCTTTTATAACCCACAAATTAGACATTGTTTGATATTAACAAAAGCAAGAGTCAGATCTCCTCTGTGTTCCTTGTCTCCCTTCCTTGATACATTTCAGACCTTCCTTATGGGACCTTATTCTTTGTTTGTTTTTGAAGCCCAACCTTAGAAGCTGTTTTATGAGGCTTATTTAGAAGTAAACTCTTTCAAAATCTGCTCATTTGTCTTTATTTTGTCCTCATTCTCGAAAGATACTTTAGCCGTATAAACTATTCTCCATTGCCCATTATTTTCTCTGAACACATTGAGGGCGTTTCACTGTGTTCTTGCTTTGCTCATTGTTTTTGTGGCTCAGCTAGCTGTCAGTCTGAATGTTCCTTCGTAGGATGTGCGCTTGTTTCTTCTAGATCCCTTTGAGCACTGTAGACGCAGGTCCTCTTTATAGTACAATTTTGGCTTGTGTATTGAGGTTCGCATAAACAGTATGGGCTTAGGTTCCCAACCATGGCAGCCCAGTGGGTACCACATTAACAGGGGTGAAGTTTTTACTTTTTCTCCATCTTTATGAAAATTGAGACAGGAGTTAGGTAGATTGTTTTTCCATTCTCAGGGGTCTGGCTTTATGCAGATGGTCTCAGGTTTGAACTCTAGGCCACAGGACACTGGGTGTGGTCCCAGGGAGTCTGGTGGCTTCAATGCTAGCTTTCCTCCCTGTGCTGTGCTCCTGCCTAGGTCCTGCCCACATGGACTTCCTTCACCTTCATGCAGGCTCATCCATGCTTTACACGTTATGCATGCCCATTTGTGTGTCCCAACTTAGCATTTTGATTTGTTATATGAATAAAAATCAAGAGAGATGCAAGATCCGTAGTCAGTCATATTTGTGGAAATCGAAATCCCCCACACATTTTTTCATCCATTTGAATTTATTAAGTTTGAGGAAAATGTCTTAACAAATAAGCAAGTTTGGCTAGTCCTAGAAACTATATCTCTAACTTCTAACTTGGGAGTTACTGTACCAATTATATGGTGAAAAAAATTATAGTTCATAATTATTTGGTATTAAAAGAGACCTAAAAATTATTTTTTATTCATTCCTTTTACATCTATGAGGCAAAATGACAATGCAAAATTATATAAATGTGATTATCTACCCGCAAAATTTGGATTAAAGACTATTTTCATGTGAAAAATGTGAAAAAGATAAAACGTCACACAGACTGTGAGAAAAAATGTACTGTTTTCACATGTTCTTGTAAATATATTCTTATCCTTTTTATCTAACGTGTAGCTAAATATCAAAGGGCCATTGACTATATATATATATATAGCTGATGCTGAAAAAGGCTGTTGAATTGTTTCAATTAACAATATAGCAAAAATACTAAAGCCTTTCACTTTTTTTTTTTTTTTTTTGAGACAGTCTCACTCTGTCGCCCAGGCTGGAGTGCAGTGGCCCGATCTCAGCTCAGTGCAACCTCTGCCTCCCGGGTTCACGCCATTCTCCTGCCTCAGCCTCCAAAGTAGCTGGGATTATAGGCACACACCACCATGCCCAGCTAATTTTTGTGTTTTTTGTAGAGATGGGGTTTCACCATGATGGCCAGGATGGTCTCAATCTCCTGACCTCATGATCCGCCTGCCTAGGCCTCCCAAAGTGCTGGGATTACAGGCGTGAGCCACTGTGCCCAGCCCTTTCACATTTTATATCTTGTAATTCTCTATTCTGCTCTACACCATAGGGATGATCCTTCCAAAAGCATCCTATCTAGATTCTGCTGTTAAATCACCTTTGTTGGCCTGGCCAGTTATCAAACTCAACAGCCCCTTCATCATCAAAGACTCGCCCTCTATCCGCATCTCATTCCTTGCTTCCGCCAATAATCTGACTAGTAAAGAAGTCACTGCATGCCACAAATTGTCAGTGCTGACTTCCTCAACAAGGAAGTTATTTATTTACTTATTTAATATATGAGTGACTCAGATGCAAATTCCATCTTGAGAATACCAACTCCTGATGCCAACTGATTGTCAGTCATGGCTACAACAGGAGACTGGATTCACTCAAATAGTTCAAATAAACAGAACGTAATAGAGGGACTACTTACAGAAGTGAAGCAGGGTTGAGGAAAGACACAGGGGATGTTGAGCTACTCAGAGCTGCAGTGACAGCATGTGGAAATAGAATTACTGAAGTTCCATAAGGCTGGAATTGTGAGAGTCTATCCAGGAGTAGCTGAATTTGCAGAGGAATGCAGCTGTCCACAGAAAAACAATGGCAAAGGAGCAATGCAGCAGAGAAGACATAGTCTAATTTCTCTTTACTTTCTACTGTATGATATGGTAGAAGGCTTGCTTTTGGCTGTGCTGGAAAACATACAGAAAGGAAAACCAAAAGATAAGCTTTATGTTTTAAAATCTCCACTCAAGATGCAGGTGGAAAATTAGAAAGCCACTGTGGTGATGTTAAAATATATCTTGTATGTCTGAAGTCAGCTACACAAAGGAGAAAACATCAAAACTAATTGCATTGATTGTGTAGTTTCAGTACCTGTTAAATGCATAATTCCATCGATTCAGTTTGGCAATGGCTGAGCAACTAACTGACTGTAAAGGAAAAGGACCCTAAGATTTAGTATGGCAAACCGAGATAAAGTTAAGAAATTCTAGCCCACCAATCTCCTGAAAGCTCTTTGTAGCCAGAATCACCTCTGCCTAAGTTGCTCTTGGCTTGAAGATCTGCTCTGAGAAGAGATACCATGTACGTCAATGGAACTACAAAATCTTGAAAACTTATGCGAGAAGGAAGCTGGAAAGCATAAAAAAAATTAATTCTTATAAACTTTTTTTTTCTGCCTTCTCTTCCCTCTCTAGCTATAATTTTGGATTTGTCTATTTTTATTTTCATTTATATCAAATGTTGTCTCATATATTTTGAAGCTGTTATGTGATGCTTGCATTTAGGATTCTTGTGTCCTCTTGATGCATTAACACCATTATAAAATGGCTTTCTGTACCCTGGCATCCCTCTTTTTCCTGATTTAATATGCCCACAGTAGATTTCTTATTATTAGAACTTATGTAGTACATTTTTGTTCTTCCTGTTACTTTTAAAGTGAATTTCTTTTAGATGGAATGTTGTTGTGTCTATGAAAAAACAGTCTATGTTTTAAAATTTAGTATTTAGACTATTTACCTTTAATGTAATTATGGGCATAGTAGGGTTTAAATCTACCATCTTGCTATTCATTTTCTATTTGTTCCATATTTTTCTTATTTCTTTTGGGTTTCCACCTTTTTCCATGTTAATTGAATATTATTTAATGTTTGCACACTATGGCCTTATTAGCTACAGCTCTTTATTTTATTTTATAGATGTTGTTTATGGGTTTACAATCTTTAACTCATAACAATATACTTTCAAATAATATTTTACCACTTTGCATATAAGACCGTTAAACAGTGTACTTTCTGTCTCCTGTCCATTTTTAATTTATCACAATGTACCTTCAAATCATATTATCCATTTTGAAAATAATATAAGAAACTTAAAACAGTATGTGTCCATTTTTCTCTTTTTTGGAGAATTACCATGCATTTTATTTCTGCATATGTTATAAATTTCACATTACATTTTCTTCTTGTTTTAAACTGTTAATTTTATTCTAAATAATTTTTTTAAATGAGAAAAAAAATTGAATTTACCCCCAAGGTAGCATTCTTGTGTTCTATCTTTTTTGCATATTTTAAATCCAAGTATCTATTTGATATTATTTTCTTTTATTATAAATAACTTATTTCTGCATTTATTGTAGTGTAAGTCTGCTGTTGACAAATTACCCCAGCTTTTTTTTTCTAAAAAGTTTATCCTTATTTTTGAATGATGGTTTTGCTGTTTGCTGAATTTACAGTTCTAGGTTGACAGTTTTTAAATTTTTAAAGTAAAATTCTAACACCTTGTTTTTGCTTCATTTCTGATAAGCTTCAGTCATTCTCATTTTTGTTCCCCTGTGTGTAGTATGTATTTTTTCTCCAGTTGTTTTAAAGTTTTTTCTTCATCACTAGTTTACAGTAGTTTCATTTTTATATAGCTTGTGGTGCTTCTCTTTGTGGTTTGTCCTGATTTTAGTCAGCTGATTGGTGAGTGTATAGCTTTCATTAAACCAGTAAAATGTTTAGCTATTTTAAGTATTTTCCTACCTCCTTCCTCCCCATCCTGCTCTTGCTTTCTCTTGGACTCTACTTGCATGTATGTTAGATTGCTGGCTGTTTTTCTACTGTTCACTGATTTTGTATCTTATTTTTAGTCTTTTTTTCTCACCTTGCTTCAGTTTGGATAGTTTCTGTTGCAATATTTTCAAGTATGTCCATCTTTCCTTTCACAGTTTTGAGTATGCTCTTAAATGCAGTGAATTTTTCAATTTAAATATTGTATTCTGGGCCAGGTGCGGTGGCTAATGCCTGTAATCCCAGCACTTTGGGAGGCTGAGGAGGGCGGATCACCTGAGGTCGGGAGTTAGAGACCAGCCTGACCAACATGGAGAAACCCTGTCTCTACTAAAAATACAAAATGAGTGGTGGCACATGCCTGTAATCCCAGCTACTCGGGAGGCTGAGGCAGGAGAATCACTAGAACCCAGGAGGCAGAGGTTGCAGTGAGCCACAATTGAGCCATTGCACTCCAGCCTGGGCAACAAGAGCGAAATTCTGTCCCCCGCCGAAGAAAAATTGTATTCTTTAGTCCCAACTATTGATACATGGATAAGGTGTACCATCGCCACCACCATTATCAACATCATAACAACAGTGTTTTATAGCACTTTTAAGACTATAAATGCTTTTATATATATTAACAGATTTTACACTCACTGAGGCTTGGTTATTTCCATCTTAAAGATATGAAGTGTGAGGCTCAGAAAATAAGTCAGTTTTACAAACATACTGGGAAAAAAATTGTATGCTAGAACTGAAATCTAAATCTATCCAAGTCAATTTTTATTTGCTACTTCATGCTGCCCATATCTATAGTTGATCTTTTACCATACCATGATCTTAGGAGACTAGGAAACAATAAAACCACAAGTAAGAAAATGATTCTTTCTATACGTTTCAAACCAAATAGCTATCTAAGACAATTTATCCAGATAATCCAAGTCAAATAAAAGTATGCTTCAGTTCTCTGAATATTATAAGCAAAAGTGTAAAAGATAGCTTTGTGCCTCCAGTGAAGAGCAGTCAGGCAACCAGAAGGCATACCTAGCAATATAATATTTATTATTTCTTGAGCTTTTATTGTTCGGTGTTCAATAGTCCTGTGAGATAGTTCTCATTATTCTTTATTTATACATGAGAAAACTGTCTCACAGAAGTTGCATAACTTGCTCAGAGTCCCATGGATAATAAGTGGCCCAGGCAGCACTTGAGTCCAGGTCAGTCTTGCTTTTTCCCTTTCTTATTCACTGTCCTACCTTGCCTCTATGTTTGTGTCCCTTCTTAGTCACTTCTCTTGCACTGTTGATTTGCCTTTTTTTAATACATATGTGCTTTATTTACTGCAATTGACAAATAATTGTATCATTTATGGCATTCAACACAGTGTGTGGTTTTTCCTTTTTTTTTTTTTTATTTTGAGACAGAGTCTTGCTCTGTCAATGAGGCTGGAGTGCAGTGGCATGATCTCCGCTCACTGCAGCCTCTGCTTGCTGGGCTTAAGCGATTCTCCTGTCTCAACCTTCCAAGTAGCTGGGGCCATCCAGGCATGCACCACCGTGCCTGAATTATTTATTTATTTGTAGAGCCCTCTTATAGAAGTCTCCCTATATTTCCCAGGCTGGTCTCAAACTCCTGGGCTCAGCAATCCTCCTGCCTTGGCCTCCCAAAAGCCCTGGGATTACAGATGTGAACCGCTGCACCTGGCCTAACATGAGGTTTTGAAATACATATATATTGTGAAATGGATAAATCTAGCTAAACACATACTTATTTTTTTATCTGTGGTGAGACCACTTAAAGCCTACTCTTTCAGCAATTTTAAAGTATATCACCATGGGGTACAATAGATCTCTTAGACCTGTCCCTACTGTCTAGATGGCATTTTGCATCCTTTGACCAACATGCTGATTTATCTTTAACATATTGTATTGCTACCTTGTGGTAGGCAGAACTTTGGTCGTCGTGATCTCAGCCACCTAGCGTTACATCCTGTTATGTTACATGGCAAACAGGCTTTGCAGATGTAATTAATGTTACTCCTCAGTTGACTTTAAGATAGGGAGATTAACCTAGATTATGCAGGTGAGCTGGATCTAATCTCATGAGCTCTTTAAACGTCGGAAGAGGAGGGTAGAAGAGAAAATCAGAGATTATAAGTGAAAAGGTTGGAGATGTCATTACTGGCATTTAAGATAAAGGGGGCCAAAAGCCACAGAATATGGGTGCCTTCAAAAGCTGAGCCAATAGCTGGCAAAATCATGAGAACACTCACTCCTGTAGCAACATGGAGCTGAATTCTGCCAACAATCTAAATGAGCCTGGAAGCAGGTTCTCCCTCAGAGGCTCCAAAGAAGAGCCCAGGCCAGCTGACAGCTTGACTTGCACCTTGTGTGCCCCTATATAGAGAACCCAGTCAAGCCATGCTGTACTCAGACTTCCAACTCATGGAACCTATGAGATAATAAATAGGTGTTGTGTTAATTTATTATGGCAGCAATAGCAGGCTAATACATACTTTAGGAACAATTAATTTCAAATTTTTGTGTGTGAACTCTCCTCATTCACTATCATGACACACAAACACATTCACCCACACACTCTCAGAGATACTCAAGTTGTATACTTCCAGAAGAGGCTTTCTCTGTTTTTAAAGTCTGAAGTTCTCAGCATTCTCACTGAGCCATGCTATCACTTTTGTGTCACTTTGGACAGCCTTCCCTGCTTCTGTCATCCTCAACTTTTTCTTGCATTGTCTGTTTTCCCTTTTCCCTGTTTGCACCTCAGTTCTTTTGTTTTCTGTTAATATTAGGACCTGATTATATACACAGCTAGTCCACAAACACATGTATAGTTTTCTTCACAAAAAATCAAGGAAGGACATTGCATTGTGTGAAGTGTTTGCATCTTTATATTTTTATTTTATACTTACTGCAAAGTGGCATGTGGATACTTTTCTACTGCTGGACACAAAGGTATCTATTAAGATAGAAATATTCCTCATACACGTGCTGTAGGATTCTTGGAACTGAAGAAAATTTGGCCTCTAAAAAACTGTATTATCATAATCATAAGAATTATATTTGATAGAGTTTCTAATATTTTATTAACATCAGGAGATTCGATTGAAGTCAACATTTGCAATTTAAATGTGGTATTAAGCACTTTGTTTAAAGGCAGAATAATTATAATGCATCAATGTGTATGTTTCTACAAATTTGACAACTATAACACATGCCACTTAAAACCTTATTTACCATGCGCAGTCTCATATAAATACAAGCTGTAAGTCTAAGAGCCACCCTAGATTCCATTCTCTTCTTTACCTCCAGTGACTAGTCCGTCCCCAAGGTGAGCTTATTTTTCTTCCTGAATGACCCTAAGGGGTAAAAGTAGATTTGATAGTTGGGGACGATATGATTTGTGGTTATACAGAAAAACTTTTAACTACTGACACTATACAAAGCTCTAACTTGTCCTTTGGAGGAAAATATTTTTCTTACTAACATTTACTGATTAGACATTTAGTGGGAATATCAGGCAACGTGCTGGTTTCAAATGGTTGGTTGCAGGTCCCTTTCAAAAATGGGCATTTCCAATTCTGCGTCAACATCATTGTTTACACAGCTGCAGAGAGCACATTCTTCCAGGAGCACCTTCAGGGCTTTCCGGGAAGCTTCTGGGCTTCGTTTGTTTGGAATCCTAAAGCAAGCAGCCTTTCCTGAAAAGAATGTCCTCAGGAAATACTTTGGAATAAATTAAATGATATTTTTAGGCATTTTTATCGATCTGTTGTTTAGAGACGATTTTGAATCTGTTGACTTATTTTGTGATAAACAGAACTTTTACAGCATCTCAATGGAATCTGATTTCTAGATTGACTTGCCACCTTGAAATGATAATTACATTGTTTTTGAGAAGTAACATCTTTGTTTCCATAACATAAGACTTTCAGTTTATAACACAATGTACAATTGGGGCTTACTTTTTTAAAAGCACTGATTTATTTGAAACCTGTCTAAATTTGGCTAGGTTTCATAATTGGAGCAATCATCAATATAGTATGAATGACCTTATACAATATAATTTTATTAAATAAAATATTTTTATTAAAACTAAATGAAGTCATAAAAATTTGATTTTTTTTCTAAAGAAAAAGTGTATTGAAATCCATGGACCTAAAATGTGGCTTATTATTAAAAAAATCCTATTTAAATATACTTTTGAAATAGATACATGTTTCTAGCATATTTTATTCACCCTGTACTTACTCTCTTATGAGAATTACTCCACAGAAAGTCATCTTGTTTTATGAAAATAACTAAGAAAGTCATTGTTTTTCTTCCTGACAACATTTAAATGTTGGAAGCCACATCTTTATTAAGTTACATTCAGCTGATTGCATTTATGAAATTAATCTATGAGGTCAAAAAAGAATGAAATTAGTATTCAAAAGATATCACTAATAAAAATCATTGATCAATTTAAAGAAGTTATTAACATATAACAATGTTAAGTAGTTCATTATACTTTAAATATTTCCAGTCTATTATTAGTTAAAAAGTAAATCTGCTAGTATTTCCCCCCCAAATTCATTATTTCACCGAATTCCTCTCATCTGAACATAGCTTAGCTGTATTAAGATGTTGCGTAAGACGGCTCTCAGAAGCTACTTAATTTATTCTAATTAACAAATGTCTGCATTCTTAATGTGTTAATTATTAGGGCTCCCCAATCTCTTATTCGATTTTTTCATTCAACAAGTATTTATTGAATGCTTATTATGTCAAACCCTCTTCTAAATATTGGAATAATAGTAATAAAACAAATCGAAGTTTATACTCTCAATAAGTTTATGTTGTAATGAAGGATGCAAACAGTATATACACACTGCAATGTCAGCTAGTGATAACTTTTGAGAGAATAGTGAAATAACATACATACAGGGATAGAAAGTGATGGGAAAGCCTTGTCTCCACCGTCCTTCTTTCCCTCTCAGAGCTCCAGCCAAGTACTTTCTCCAGCAGTCGTGTTAAACACACTCCCTTCTATTATTAGGCATGTCCTGACCCCTCTATCTGAAACACTTGCCCTTTGCCTAGCTAACTGCTATTCTTCAGTCACAGTCAAATACTGCTCCACAGGCAAGCCTTCCCCACTCCCAGCCATGCTCCCAGAGCATCATGAAACTTCCATGAAATTTGACATTGTTTGTATGATGATTTGTTCACTCTATTCTCCTCACTAGAGCATGGGATTATATATATGTAATATTACTATATATATGGCATAGAGTGAATGTTCAATAGAATTAGTTGAACGCATTATTTTAAGTATAATATATCAAGAAGACAGGTTTCAAAGACCACATATTTTAACCATTCTGTTCATACGGGATGTTTAGAAAAGGCAAATCTATGGAAAAAGAAGGTAGATTAGTGTTTATGTTACCGAAACACCAGGGGTTCGGTCAAGGTCCTGCTACTCGCTGCACAGAAAGCCAATGATTGAGACGACGAGTATTGCCAAGGAAGAATCTTTAATCAGGTGCTGCAGCTGAGGAGATGGAAACTCACTCTCAAATCCACCTCCCTGACCTGCTAAAACCAGGAGTTTATATAACAGGGAAAAAAAATGCAACTGTGTGTAAGAAAACAGGAACTAGGGAGACGCAAGGAAGCCATCACGGTGAATGAGGGGTCTGGCATCTCATTGTCTGGATGTGATGATCTGGTGAGTTTCAGTTGTTTGATACTTTTTTTTGAGAGACCTGATGGTCATTTTCTGAGGGAGGAACTCAGATTAAACAAATATAAGTTTCAAGCTTTAAGATTAGAAGGGTCAATTCCTATATTTATCAGAAAATATCTATGAGACCACTGGGTCAGTTTCATTTACCCAGGGCTGAGAGAGGGAATGGGGATTCACTGCTGACTGGCCTGAGGGAACTTACTGGAAAGATGGAAATGTTCTAAAACTGGATTATGGTGATGGTTGCAGACTAAGCAAGTTTACTAAAATCACTGAATCATACTAAAATCATTGAATTGAAAATTAGATGAATTTTATGATATGTAAATTATATCTCAATAAAGGTCTTTTTATTTTTTATTTTTCTTTTTGAGACAGTGTCTTGCTCTGTTGCCCAGGCTGGAGTGCAGTGGCATGATCTCGGCCCACTGCAACCTCTGCCTCCCTGGTTCAAGCAATTCTCCTGCCTCCGCCTCCCAAGTAGCTGGTACTACAGGTGTGCGTTACTGCGCTTGGCTAATTTTTGTATTTTTAGTAGAGATGGGATTTTACCATGTTGGCCAAGCTGGTCTTGATCTCCTGTCCTCAAGTGATCTGCCCGCCACAGCCTCCCAAAGTGCTGAGATTACAGGCGAGAGCCACCACGCCCAGCCTCAATAAAGTTCTTTTTTTTTAAAAAAAGGTAGTGACTAGGGGAAGTGTAAGGATGTGGGAGTGGCCAGGGAAGGTCTTTTTAAGGAGATGCTATTTGAATAGAAAATTGACATGAAGGCAAGAGCCCCAAAGATGTCTCGGGACAGAGGGCTCCTGGCAGGGGAGCAGTGGGGATCTTAGGTGCATTGCTATGTTGGAAGAACAGTGGGGAGTCCAGGTGGCTGTGGCGAGGTGGAATGGGGGCCACAGGAGGAAGCGGAGGCTAGGGAGGAGCCAGTTAGGTATGTGAGGTTTGGTTAATTAGGGTCAGGGTATTGAATTTTATTTTAAATGTGATGAGATGCTATTGAAGGATTTTAGCAGGAGAGCAACATAATTTGGTTTACATTTTGACAGAGTCACTTTGGCTGCTGTACGGAAAAACAGAAGCAGGAAGCCCAGATAAGAAATTGAGTAGCCAGTCACGAAATGGTGGTGTTATGGATCAGGGTGGAACGGTGGAGGCGGTGAAAAGTATGTATCTTATAGATAGAAATATGTGAGAATATCACAGCCTATTCTAAAAACTGCTGAATCATTGAGTGCATATAGTTGGAGAAGTGGGTGGAGCAGAACAGCATAAGAAGAGAGTAAAGAAGTGTGCAGGGTCAGATTACATGAGGCCTTATAGGGCGTGGGACAGAGTTTCACTTCATCTTAAATGCAGTGAGAAGTCATTGGAGGATTTCAGGTGCGGAATGATACAGTCGGACTCACTCACATGAAGATTATTCTGTCTGCCAGGTGGAGAAGAGCTCATAGGGGAAGAAGCATAGAAACCCAAGAGCAAGTTAAGACACTAATGGCAGAGGTTAGGCAAGAGGTGGTGGTGGTGTAGATTGGGACGGTGGCAATGCAGATAGAAAAATAAGCGTATACAAGGGCTCCTTTAGAATTGGAACAGATGGGATAACTGGATATGAGGAAGAGGAAACTAAAGAGTGAAGCATTTTTGGTTTGGGTAACTGAGTTACGCAGTTTTTTTTTTTGAGATGGAGTCTCACTCTGTCACCCAGGCTGGAGTGCAACAGCACAATCTCAGCTCACTGCAACCTCCACCTCCCAGGTTCAAGCGATTCTCCTGCCTCAGCCTCCCGAGTAGCTGGGACTACAGGCGTGCACCACCACACACAGATAATTTTTGTGTTTTTAGTAGAGACCAGGTTTCACCATGTTGGCCAGGATGGTCTCGATCTCTTGACTTCGTGATCCACCCGCCCTGGCCTCCCAACGTGCCAGGATTATGGGCCCGAGCCACCACACCCAGCCCAGTTACAGTAGTTTACTCCAGAATAATACTACATGTATAAACATAGGTTACACACATACTTAAAAGAACATTAGAGTTCTTTTTTGTTTTTCTTTGATGTTTGGCTTTGATTTAATGGGATTTTACTATACACATTACTCTTAAGCAAGCCTTTAACACTCAGCACTTTAAAGTGCTTGGTACATAGTAGGCTTAAGTAATATTTTATCAAACTGAGCTGGAGAGTTCTTAGATATTGTTCTTATCTCAAATTCAGTCATCCCTTGGTATCTGCTAGGGATTGCTTCCAGGAACCCCATGAATTTTTTTACCAAAATCCACAGATGCTCAAGTCCCTTATACAAAACGGTGTCTTGTTTGCATGTCACTGACACACATACTCCGTGTACTTAAACCATCTCTAGACTGCCTATAATACCTAACGTGATGTAAATGCTATGGAAACAGTTGTTTTACTGTATCGTTTGGGGAATAACATCAAGTCTGTACATTTTTCAGTAGAGATGCAATGATCATAGGCCTAACTGCCTTTTCAATCTGCACGTGGTTGAACCCATGGATGCAGAGCCCGTGGGTGCTGATTGCTAACTGTATATCCTACTTCTAATCCTTCTTTTGTATGGAGTGAGCTTCCAAAAACCTTCTGAAACATTAAGTCATGCTCTTCTTTGAAGTCTGTGAATCCTCAGGGCTGTCGGCGTGAGAACCAAAGGCTGCAGTGGTGCACACAATGTCCTTCATCCCAGTAGGTTGATTGTTCAGCATCTGTGTGACCCAACCTCTCCTATTGTCCTTGATTCAATAGCTGATCTACTGAACTATGTAGCTGAATTACAGCTCCTCAAGCACAGTGCTGTCTTGGCTTGGAATGCCCTACTGCTTCTGTTATTATTATGATGACACATTGGTGATTTTTTTCCTATGAGAATCTTCTCTAATTTCCCAAGTGTAAGTTAGCTATCCTCCTGTGTGTGCCCTGAACCCTGTACATCCCCATCATCACAGTAGTTCATTGCCTTGTAATTGCTTGCTTGCTTTTATGTTTCTCCCATTGGACAATATATTCCTTAAAGCCAGAGATTTTTCCCTGTGATATTATCCTCAGAACTTAATATAGTATATGTTGTCATACTAAAAGCTTGATCAATACAACATACATAAGTAAAGGAACATTATTCTTCTACATTAGAGAATACAGTTCCTAGGGAAAGTATGTATTTAGACCACACGACTGAAGCAACAGGTCTGGGGAACACCCATACTCAAGGAATGGGGAGGAACAAAAGGCATTAGAAAAAAAAGAAATGGGATAGCCGTGAAAGCGCAAGAACAATGTTCAGAGTGTTTATCACGGCCGTCTGGAAAAAACAGAATTTCAAGAAATGAATGATCAGTCATGTCAAATGCTTATAAAAGTCAGGAATAATGGCTGTGAAATGTCCAATCAACTTGGCAATTAAAAATACACTGATGACTTTATGAAGCAGTTTCAGTATGTTGGTTGAGACAGAAGCCAGATGATGGGGTGCTGCATAATAAATGGCACATCGCAGGCTGATGACAGCACAGCCCTGCTTTAATACGGCAGGAAACACGATGGGTTCTGTGGCATCCTCCTACTCACTGTCTTCTGTGGATTGTGACTCCTGGTGACTGACAGATGTTTAATTTCCTGAGGGCAAGCAAAGTCACGGCTTTAATATGCCCGAGAATAATGATGGATGATGCAACTTTGGATAAGCCTGTAGAAGAGACAAGAGAAAGGAAGAGGTGTAGAAAAGCTCTGAAGGGGTCTGGGCGCAGTGGCTCATGCATGTAATCCTAGCACTTTGGGAGGTCGAGGCGGGCAGATAGTGAGGTCAGGAGTTCGAGACCAGACTGACCAACATGGTGAAACCCCATCTCTACTAAAAATACAAAAATTAGCTGGGCGTGGTGGCGGGCACCTGCAATCCCAGCTACTCGGGAGGCTGAGGCAGGAGAATCACTTGAACCCGGGAGGCAGAAGTTGCCGTGAGCTGAGATGGTGCCACTGCACTCCAGCCTGGGTGATAGAGCGAGACTCTGTCAAAAAAAAAAAAAAAAAAAAAAAAAAGAAAGAAAGAAAGAAAAAGAAAAGAAAAGAAAAGAAAACAGAAAAGCTCTGAAGGGAGAATTCTTGAGTGTGTGATGTTTGAAATACTAGACTAAAGGGCAGTTCAGTGGGACAGTGGGTGGAATTTGCAGTGGATACCAGAACAGAGTTTGGGAAGAGAGATTTGGCCAAGAGACTACACCCTGCAGATCTCCACTGACAGAGGAGTTAGTGACCAAGAGCCTGGCCACTGAGCTAAAATCCATCGTGCACTTGTGCTGTAACCACATTCCCATGGGCTGCTCTCCAGCCAATGACTGAATTGGAAGCAGGGATGCCTGTCCTGGGAGCCATGAGCTCCTCTGATGCCTGAGGTTGACTCGTGGACTTCCAGTAGCTTTGCTGAACCTTCCATAGACTGGAAAGCAGCCTAAGATGTTTTCTCGCAGACCCCTCTGGCTCCTTCACCGTTTTCCTTTTGCAGTAGTTTTCTTAATAACATCCTTGCATGTGTAATCCTGTGCTTATATCAGCTTCTCAGAGGGTCCAGACCGATATAATATCTAAAGGGTAGTTTTATTTTTGAAGGGAGGTGAATTGCTGTGTTATTAGTGTTGTACCCTTCTATCATTCGCTATCATTCATGTTTCTTTAAGATATATTCGGTAAAATACCCATTTCTCACTAATGCTGGTTAGAGTAGGTCTTTTTTTTTTTTTTTGAGACGTAATCTCCCTCTGTTGTCCAGGCTGGAGTGCAGTGGCGCCATCTCGGCTCACTGCAACTTCCGCCTCCTGGGTTCAAGTGATTCTCCTGCCTCGGCCTCCTAAGTAGCTGGGATTACAGGTGCCCGCCGCCATGCCCGGCTAATTTCTTTTGTATTTTTAGCAGAGCGGGGTTTCATCATGTTGGCCAGGCTGGTTTTGAACTCCTGGCCTCAAGTAATCCGCCTGCCATGGCCTCCCAAAATGCTAGGATTATAGGCGTGAGCCACTATGCCGGGCCAGGTCTTCTTTCTTGAGGGGAGGGACAAAGTGAAATAATGAGAACTGCTCTGCAATGTCTTCTTCAGAAGAGAAGCTGCCCATAGAACAGAGTCCCATGTAGATGATACAGTGATATTAAATAGAACGTTCCCCACAGAAGTTTAACGCGATTAGTATCAAGGTGACGCTTATAAATGCTAATGCAAGAATGCCATTCAGGAGTCTTGCTTTATACCTAAAAAAGCGATGTGTTCCTGATTGTGGAATATCTTTACAGGTAGAAGGCAGGTAATAGTTATATAGAAATAAAACAAAAATAACAATGTATAGGATACAGCCTCAAAGATTCCCAGAATATTAGAGCTACAAGGCACGTTAGAGACCATCTCCTAATTTTAAATGCTCTTTTGAATATTCTAGTGAGAGAAGCTGCAGCCTGTTGAGACTCCACAAGACTGAAGATATGAAAAGAGGAAATATGCATGAATGCCCGCACGGAGAACCACCCCCACCTGCTGCTCCCGCTCTAATGATCACGCCCATTATCAACTGGGGGATGGCTCTGTGCCTTGTCCTTGCATTACATGGACCAAGAACACTTCACAGGACTCAGAGAGGTAAATGAGAGAAACCTATTCTTATAGAGGATGAAAATGAAGCACACAGGGAGGTAAAGTGCCCCAAAATCCCATCTGAACTGGCTTTAGAAACCGTATATTTACTTTTTCATATAATTTGTTTATCTAAGGGAAAAAAATAACAGATGTGTTTAATGGCTTTAGAAACATTTAAACAGGTGGACCTCAAAATATGTGAAATGAACATATTGCCATTGTTTATTATAATTTTCCTTCCTTCTATTTTTGCTTAAAATTCCTCAAGGCCTTTGGATATGCAAAAAAAAATGAGCATTTGTTTTATTATGTTGCTTAATAGAAACAATTTTTTAAAGTATTGATTTACGCAGTGACCAAAATACTGATTCTAAACAACAAAACATGCAGCTGTTACGAATCCTGGACGAGCTCTGGAAATGTGTGGTATTGTCTTGCAAAGAAGCTGTTTTTGTTCTAGTCAAATATGGAAACTAGTTTAGAAACTTCATTTTAATATATAATTCTGATTTCAGTGTTACCAGTAAATATTAATGTCCTTTTCTAACAGTCTTAATTTCCTTTTCTCAACTCCCTTGAGTTATATATTTTATTGAAGCATTCATTTACCATCAAGAGAAAAGAATGACATAAGCATGTGTGCTGAAACGTGCGGCTTCCAGGCCACAGAGTTAAGGAAGCTACATTTGTTCTCCCAGCCCCTTACTTGTGCTATGCATTTAGAAAGAAAACTTTCGACGTCTATTGTTCTTACTTTTACAATTTATGATGTAGTTAATCCTATTCACCTTGTGTACTGAGGTAGGTCAGAATTTCTTCTCACCCTTTTCCTCTTCTAACATGACCTGTTCTTTCGCATCATGAGTCATAGAAATGTAAGCTAATACATAAAGTTTTTGAAAAGATGAGGAAAGAGCCAGAGAAATAATAATGCCCTGAGGTTGTGCTATAAGGTATGTTCCACATTGGCAAGAAGTCCCTTGCTTGGTAGATGTGTTCCTGTAAGCCCTAAAAGAAAGGGCAGGTGGCTGTCATACTCCCCTTATCCTCCGGACACAATCACCTGAGACCATTCACTAGGCCTTCCAAGGGGAAGCCCAGGTGAAACTGAAGGACAACCCTTCTGAGATGGACAGAAAAAGAAAAACGTGAAATCTTATGGTAAGGGTAAAAGGCCAAAGAGACTTAGGAACTGTAAGGTAGGGAGGAAAGAATGTGGGAGCCCAGAGAGACGGGTCCTCTGTGGCCGTAACAGTAGACTTTCAGTGGAGCGAGAGAGAACATGAGGAAACTCAGGATATTCTGCACCATGGTTTGGACTCTAAAAATGTATTTGATCATATGATGGGTTTATAGTTTTTATTCTTGGCCTCGGTCTCTGTTTTTTTTTCTTCTTATATGTTGTAGTGTTGGGATTCACTCAGATGGTGGCAGAAATATTAAAGGGAAATACTAGGGAAAGTTATAGGGAATAGTCACAAACCTTTTGGAAGGCTGAAAGTTTACATAGCTTGTAATAATTGAACAGGCTGAGGCAGCCGGTTCTTACCTTAGAGCATTAGGTCTTAGGGTAAATACTAGGGACAACAGAGGCTTCCCCACTTAAGTCTGTTTACCCTACCTCCAATAACTAACCTTTGAGCCAGATGGCCCACTTGTGGGGAGGTTGACTAGGGATATTGTCCCCTAATGGTATTTACCTTAGACCTTGGTACCTGAGCTTTAATCATTCCTAGAACTACTCTCTTAACCATGTTAATTATCCACAAGTGTGTTGACTCAGAGCTTCTGTTGTTAATTGTATACCAAATAAATGCCTGGAGTGCGAGCTGCTCAGGGCCAGCCACAGTGACAAACCACTCTTGGTGTGCAGGCGGTCGGACACTCAGCAGGACTGGCAAAGCAGAATATCTGTGTCAGTGTACGTTTTATTCGCCTGTCGTTTGGGTCAGGGTCCATGGGCAGACCCCCGCAGCTAATGCCCTCAAGGGTGAGGAGCAATACCTCATTATAGACTTAGTTGTGAAAAGTTTTTTTAAAATTAATGAGACAGTAATCAGGTATTTTAAACAACTGAATTTTACAAACCCTCATAACATTGAGTGGGAAAAAAATTTAGATCTCAGTCAACTCCTTGATCTTACACATAAAGAAACTGATGCTCAAAATATGAAAAGATTTTCCCAAGTTAATATTACACATGATCAGTGGATATGATACTAGAGCCAGTCTTTGATCTCCAATTCCAGTTTTCTTACTATAATAAGGTGGATTTCTTGTGAGGGAACCAACCGGATAAAGTAAAAAACCTACAGTTTCTATGAGGATCCACATACTTTCCTGACAATGGAGTAAGAGAAAATGTGGCAAGTGACCATTGGGCCCTCCAGGTGTCTTAGAGTGGTTGACATAGTTCCTGAACAAGAGTGGAAATCCAGCCTGGCACGGTGGCTCACGCCTGTAATCCCAGCACTTTGGGAGGCTGAGGCGGGCGGATCACGAGGTCAGGAGATTGAGACCATCCTGGCTAACACGGTGAAACACCATCTCTACTGAAAATACAAAAAATTAGCCGGGCCTGGTGGCGGGCACCTGTAATCCCAGTTACACTCGGGAGGCTGAGGCAGGAGAATTGCTTGAACCCGGGAGGCAGAGCTTGCAATGAGCCGAGATAGTGCCACTGCACTCCAGCCTGGGCGACAGAGTGACTCTGTCTCAAAAAAAAAAGAGTGGAAATCTAGGTGGATTCAGGGATAGGGAATGGTAGCAAAAAGAGAGAGAGAGGAGAGAGAGGGAAGAGTAAGGAGCACAGAAATAGAAAGAGCATCTGGTAGTGAGATGAGCTGGAATCTGGGGAGAGGGACCTGTGTCCAGGCAGGCTTCTTACAGAGCTGTCTACTTACAGAGCTCCACACCCACAGCGCCAGGTCAGTGATTTGTCTGTCGGTGCGCACCCCCATTCTGTGCTCTTTTCTGTATCACAGGGGACTGGATATCTGCAAGCTACATTTTCCACACTGCCTTCTGACTGGTATTTAATAAGATTTTGATAATGGGAGGCACTGGCAAGAAATGGGAAGGTGGGAGAAAGAGCAAATCCATATTTTTAGTCATTGTTTTTCCTGGTGGTGCCCTTGGCAGCAGTAACCACAGTGACAAGTGGATGCAAGCCCGGGTTCCCTCTAAGGTGGCACAGTTCCAATGGCAGCAGCAGCAGCAGCTGCTCTGACAGCTTTGTAACCACCAGTACTCCTGGGCCCTGGCTCTTGCTGTATCAGGAGTGTGAGCTCCTGGCTTCCTGTGCAGTGGCAGTGGCAGTGCTCACTGCATCCGGCAGTGGCTAAAGAAGGACTCCAGCCTCCTCAGCCCACAGCTGCGTGGACTTGGGGCTACACCATTGCTCTTTGGGGTTGTTTTTGGCTCATGGGGTGGTTGTGGCATCCTGAAGTTACGAACAGCAGTTACGAACAGCAGTTCCTCAGGTACCAGTCTTTGGGGAGCCTCATCCCCTTGTTGTTCCTGCCTGGCTTTTTGTGACGTTTAAAACCAATGTTCAAATCCAATGTGTTTGGAATGCTTAGAATTGGTTTTGTTTTCCTAACTGGACACGAGAGACACAAGCACTACGCGATCCTTCTACGTCATGCTCTTAAAAAATATGGCAAAGTTTTACATTATTCATCCATTTCTGCTGTTCCCGTGAAACTGACAATATACAAAGACCAGCGTGTGTGGGGCCCTGGAATATGTCAGTTTATATTTCTATTGTGTCAGTTTTCTTAGGGTATATGGCGAATATAAATATGACTATTATAATTAAGTGGCTGTGCATTTTCATATTAGAATTCATTATGTTGCCTTCTCAGTAGAAGCACTTTCTATGTAGTGCTTGAGCATATAGGTAAGTCAGGTGGCCACCTGCACAGTGTGATTTGAAGGTGTGAAGGTATCTCTCTGCCTCAAATAGCGATTAAATTTAACAGGTTCATATTCTGTAGTGAAAAAAATACAGTTGGCCCTCCATATCCACGGGTTCTGCATCCATGGATTCAACCAACCAAGGATAAAAATATTTTTTAAAAATTGCATCTGCAAGTTAATTATAATATAATGCTCAAGAAAATTCACAACATGAATGAAATGTTACAGAAGTTATAAATCCATTGCATTTATCAGTAGCTCATTTTTGAAAAGGGTCTTTGGATTATAGATTTCCACTTCTTTTACAAAGAAACATTGAAGTGAGAATTTTGTGGGTACTCTTTAAACAATAGTACATGAGTTTAATACATATTTTTTAAAGCCAGTAAATAACATTTTTCTGTGTCCACTTTAAAGTGTGTTGGGTATATAAGTGAATTGGACTGTATTTCTAATATGTGTGTAGGTTTAATTTTATATAGTTTTTAAATTGTTCTGTGATTAATCGGCCATTGAAAATGACCTTTTTAATTGTTGAGATTTACTGACTAGCCTTATATGGAAGGATTTGTATATCCTCACCATATATATATATGTATATATATATAAATATAAATATAAATATATATGGTGTATCTATATGGTGCATATATATAGCGTGTGTGTATATATGTATTTGGTATATCTATGGTGCATATATTTGGTATATATATGGTGTGTGTATATACACATATACATACCATATATACACACACATATATATACCATCTTTTATTTGTGTGGTGAAAAATACTCTTTTTTGGTGTAAAAAGTTTATTTTCTTTGCTAATAATGTCAGTTTGTAAAAAAAAGAATTCATCCTTACTGAATATCTATAGACCTTTTTGGTCAGTATTCCCTAAACAACGCAGTATAAGAACTATTTACGTAGCATTCACATTGTATTAGGTATTATAAGTAATTTAAGGATGATTTAAAATATACAAGGGGATGTGCATAGGTTATATGCAAATACTATGCCATTTTATATCAGGGTCTTGAGCATCCACGGATTTTGATATTAGCAGGAGGTCCTGGAACCAATTCCACATGGATACAGAGGGACGTCTCTCTCTCTCTTTGATATTGTTATATTATATCATATTATTTATATTATATATTTATATATTGGTAATATTTATATATTAGTTTAAAGGATTGTTATAAAAGTGGATTTTAAACCACAACAGCAACCAAAATGATTATGTGATGTTACAGAGGAATATGGTTGCCATCTTTTTTTTTTTTTTTTTTTTTGAGACAGAGACTCGCTCTGTCGCCCAGGCTGGAGTGCGGTGGCACAGTCTCGGCTCACTGCAAGCCCCGCCTCCCAGGTTCACGCCATTCTCCTGCCTCAGCCTCCCGAGTAGCTAGGACTACAGGCGCCCGCCACCACGCCGGCTAATTTTTTATATTTTTAGTAGAGATGGGGTTTTACCGTGTTAGCCAGGATGGTCTCGATCTCCTGACCTCGTGATCCGCCCACCTTGGCATCCCAAAGTGCTGGGATTACAGGCGTGAGCCACCCCGCCCGGCCTATGGTTGCTATCTTTAATAAATATTATGGACATAAGAGAGAGAGAGAGAATGCTGCTAGGTCACTTAAAAATGGAGATGTGATTTATGGGAATGTTCTTGTCTACATGTAATGCAACACGTGGAATCTTTATAATAGGTGTCAAGAAATTTCCCATTCAGGAGAATTCTGTAGGTGAAGGTTCAGAGGGAGCCATGGCTAGATGCTGGGCAGGGGAGGGTTAGATGCAGCCTCACTGGAGGGGTCGTTTTCTGGAAGTGATATCTAACATCCCTCCATTATCTGGAAGTGATATCTAAAATCCCCACCATTATCTGAAAGTGATATCTAACATCCACCCATTATCTGGAAGTGAATATCTAACTTTCCCCCATTATCTGGAAGTGATAGCTAACATCCCCCCATTATCTGGAAGTGAATATCTAACTTCCCCCCATTATCTGGAAGTGATAGCTAACATCCCCCCATTATCTGGAAGTGATATCTAACATCCCCCCATTATCTGGAAGTGATAGCTAACATCCCCCCATTATCCAGAAGTGAATATCTAACATCCCCCCATTATCTGGAAGTGTTATCTAACATCACCCCATTATCTGGAAGTGATGGCTAACATCTGCCCATTATCTGGAAGTGATATCTAACATCCCCCCATTATCCGGAAGTGATATCTAACATCCCCCATTATCTGGAAGTGTTATCTGACATCCCCCATTATCCGGAAGTGAATATCTAACATCTCCCCATTATCTGGAAGTGTTATCTAACATCCCCCCCATTATCTGGAGTGATATCTAACATCCCCCCATTATCTGGAAGTGATATCTAACATCCCCCCATTATCTGGAAGTGATAGCTAACATCCCCCCATTATCTGGAAGTGATAGCTAACATCCCATTATCTGGAAGTGAATATCTAACATCCCCCATTATCTGGAAGTGTTATCTAACGTCACCCCATTATCTGGAAGTGATATCTAACATCCACCCATTATCTGGAAGTGATATCTAACATCCCCCCCATTATCTGGAAGTGATAGCTAACATCCCCCTATTATCTGGAACTGATAGCTAACATCCCCCCATTATCTGGAAGTGATATCTAATTTCCACCATTAGTGACACTCCTCCATGTTTCAAGGTATGTATTTCAAGAAAGCCCTTGTTAGAATAACAGGAATTTATTGGGGAGAATAGCACAATGTCTTCTTTTTTTTGAGACAGAGTTTCGCTCTGTCGCCCAGGCTCCGGTGCAATGGCGTGATCTTGGCTCACTGCAACCTCTGCCTCCCGGGTTCAAGCGATTCTCCTGCCTCAGCCTCCTGAGTAGCTGGGACTACAGGCATGTGTCACCAACCCTGGCTAATTTTGTATTTTTAGTAGAGACGGGGGTTCTCCATGTTGGTCAGGCTGGTCTCGAACTCCCAATCTCAGGTGATCCGCCTGCCTCGGCCACCCAAAGTGCTGGGATTACAGGCGTGAGCCACCGCGCCCGGCCACAATGTCTTTATCAATCTACACGTAAGGAATTTTCTGGTAAAATAGTGCTGGGCAGATTGCAAGTGGGAGCAGTGACATTGGGTTTGAACAACAAACTTAAAAGAAAAGAAACAAAGAAAAGAACACATAATCTGTAGGCTGGGTTTCTGTCTGTCTGGTTTTGGGATGCAAAGAGAAGAAAAAATGAGGTAGTAGGCATTTAGTTATTTTCTAGCCTAAGATTAAAGTGCTTTTTGCTCCTGCCTAACTTTAGGAAAGTGAGGAAACAACATTCACAGACAAAGGACAATTGAGCATGAGCTCCAGGGGACCATCAGCAAAACATTTTCAGAAGATGTGAAGAGTAGGATGCGTAAGTCATGGAGCAGATCAGAGGCCTGTGGATAAGGTACCAAGGACAAGGAAGACTCTGTCGGTTGATGATCTTGAGCAGTGCTGCTAGGTCACTTCAAAATGGAGACGTGATTTATGGGCATGTTATTGTCTACATGTAATCAACACATGGAATCTTTATAATACGTATCTATATTTCTATGAATTAAAGTTTTCCTATGGCCTATAGTTAAGTGTTCTTGCGAGGTGTGTGAGCAGGTGCACCTATGCTGTACATGGGGGAGGATGCTAGATAAAGAATATTATCTACTCTGTCTTACAGATCATTCCCAGACGGGGTGGTAGAAACATACCATACGAATGTAAGGAGGTTCCTAAAAATGTTCACTTGGGCCATAAGCACCATACAATTGAGCAAGGTTGCACATTTATGAAGCTCTACAAAGCACAGGTTGGTTTAGCATTATCTGCTGAGCCATTGGGCAATACCCCGTGAGGGGCACAGAGAGATGGGACAAGGCGCACAGAGGGCATCTGGGGAGTCAGGAAACAGCATGAGGACAGGGGGCCCCTGGGAATAGAAGGAGACTTGTTCAAGGGAAGAAACTGAAAAACAAAACACAAGGGAGATGATAGGGAAAATCAGGGTCTCTGTGTAGTTATCTGTGTGACTCAGCATGGGGAGACGATAGGGAAAATCAGGGTCTCTGTGTAGTTATCTGTGTGACTCAGCATGGGGAGACGATAGGGAAAATCAGGGTCTCTGTGTAGTTATCTGTGTGACTCAGCATGGGGAGACGATAGGGAAAATCAGGGTCTCTGTGTAGTTAATCTCTGTGACTCAGCATGGGGAGACGATAGGGAAAATCAGGGTCTCTGTGTAGTTATCTGTGTGACTCAGCATGGGGAGACGATAGGGAAAATCAGGGTCTCTGTGTAGTTAATCTCTGTGACTCAGCATGGGGAGACGATAGGGAAAATCAGGGTCTCTGTGTAGTTAATCTCTGTGACTCAGCATGGGGAGACGATAGGGAAAATCAGGGTCTCTGTGTAGTTAATCTGTGTGACTCAGCATGGGGAGACGATAGGGAAAATCAGGGTCTCTGTGTAGTTATCTGTGTGACTCAGCATGGGGAGACGATAGGGAAAATCAGGGTCTCTGTGTAGTTATCTGTGTGACTCAGCATGGGGAGACGATAGGGAAAATCAGGGTCTCTGTGTAGTTATCTGTGTGACTCAGCATGGGGAGACGATAGGGAAAATCAGGGTCTCTGTGTAGTTATCTGTGTGACTCAGTATGGGGAGACGATAGGGAAAATCAGGGTCTCTGTGTAGTTATCTGTGTGACTCAGCATGGGGAGACGATAGGGAAAATCAGGGTCTCTGTGTAGTTAATCTGTGTGACTCAGCATGGGGAGACCATAGGGAAAATCAGGGTCTCTGTGTAGTTAATCTCTGTGACTCAGCATGGGGAGATGATAGGGAAAATCAGGGTCTCTGTGTAGTTATCTGTGTGACTCACCATGGGGAGACGATAGGGAAAATCAGGGTCTCTGTGTAGTTATCTGTGTGACTCAACATGGGGAGATGATAGGGAAAATCGGGGTCTCTGTGTAGTTAATCTGTGTGACTCAGCATGGGGAGACGATAGGGAAAATCAGGGTCTCTGTGTAGTTAATCTCTGTGACTCAGCATGGGGAGACGATAGGGAAAATCAGGGTCTCTGTGTAGTTATCTGTGTGACTCAGCATGGGGAGACGATAGGGAAAATCAGGGTCTCTGTGTAGTTATCTGTGTGACTCAGCATGGGGAGACGATAGGGAAAATCAGGGTCTCTGTGTAGTTATCTGTGTGACTCAGCATGGGGAGACGATAGGGAAAATCAGGGTCTCTGTGTAGTTATCTGTGTGACTCAGCATGGGGAGACGATAGGGAAAATCAGGGTCTCTGTGTAGTTATCTGTGTGACTCAGCATGGGGAGACGATAGGGAAAATCAGGGTCTCTGTGTAGTTATCTGTGTGACTCAGCATGGGGAGACGATAGGGAAAATCAGGGTCTCTGTGCAGTTATCTGTGTGACTCAGCATGGGGAGACGATAGGGAAAATCAGGGTCTCTGTGTAGTTATCTGTGTGACTCAGCATGGGGAGACGATAGGGAAAATCAGGGTCTCTGTGTAGTTATCTGTGTGACTCAGCATGGGGAGACGATAGGGAAAATCAGGGTCTCTGTGTAGTTATCTGTGTGACTCAGCATGGGGAGACGATAGGGAAAATCAGGGTCTCTGTGTAGTTATCTGTGTGACTCAGCATGGGGAGACGATAGGGAAAATCAGGGTCTCTGTGTAGTTATCTGTGTGACTCAGCATGGGGAGACGATAGGGAAAATCAGGGTCTCTGTGTAGTTAATCTCTGTGACTCAGCATGGGGAGACGATAGGGAAAATCAGGGTCTCTGTGTAGTTAATCTGTGTGACTCAGCATGGGGAGACGATAGGGAAAATCAGGGTCTCTGTGTAGTTAATCTCTGTGACTCAGCATGGGGAGACGATAGGGAAAATCAGGGTCTCTGTGTAGTTATCTGTGTGACTCAGCATGGGGAGACGATAGGGAAAATCAGGGTCTCTGTGTAGTTATCTGTGTGACTCAGCATGGGGAGACGATAGGGAAAATCAGGGTCTCTGTGTAGTTATCTGTGTGACTCAGCATGGGGAGACGATAGGGAAAATCAGGGTCTCTGTGTAGTTAATCTCTGTGACTCAGCATGGGGAGACGATAGGGAAAATCAGGGTCTCTGTGTAGTTAATCTGTGTGACTCAGCATGGGGAGACGATAGGGAAAATCAGGGTCTCTGTGTAGTTAATCTCTGTGACTCAGCATGGGGAGACGATAGGGAAAATCAGGGTCTCTGTGTAGTTATCTGTGTGACTCAGCATGGGGAGACGATAGGGAAAATCAGGGTCTCTGTGTAGTTAATCTGTGTGACTCAGCATGGGGAGATGATAGGGAAAATCAGGGTCTCTGTGTAGTTAATCTGTGTGACTCAGCATGGGGAGACGATAGGGAAAATCAGGGTCTCTGTGTAGTTAATCTGTGTGACTCAGCATGGGGAGACGATAGGGAAAATCAGGGTCTCTGTGTAGTTATCTGTGTGACTCAGCATGGGGAGACGATAGGGAAAATCAGGGTCTCTGTGTAGTTATCTGTGTGACTCAGCATGGGGAGATGATAGGGAAAATCAGGGTCTCTGTGTAGTTAATCTCTGTGACTCAGCATGGGGAGACGATAGGGAAAATCAGGGTCTCTGTGTAGTTAATCTCTGTGACTCAGCATGGGGAGACGATAGGGAAAATCAGGGTCTCTGTGTAGTTAATCTGTGTGACTCAGCATGGGGAGACGATAGGGAAAATCAGGGTCTCTGTGTAGTTAATCTCTGTGACTCAGCATGGGGAGACGATAGGGAAAATCAGGGTCTCTGTGTAGTTATCTGTGTGACTCAGCATGGGGAGACGATAGGGAAAATCAGGGTCTCTGTGTAGTTATCTGTGTGACTCAGCATGGGGAGACGATAGGGAAAATCAGGGTCTCTGTGTAGTTATCTGTGTGACTCAGCATGGGGAGACGATAGGGAAAATCAGGGTCTCTGTGTAGTTATCTGTGTGACTCAGCATGGGGAGACGATAGGGAAAATCAGGGTCTCTGTGTAGTTATCTGTGTGACTCAGCATGGGGAGACGATAGGGAAAATCAGGGTCTCTGTGTAGTTAATCTGTGTGACTCAGCATGGGGAGACGATAGGGAAAATCAGGGTCTCTGTGTAGTTAATCTCTGTGACTCAGCATGGGGAGACGATAGGGAAAATCAGGGTCTCTGTGTAGTTATCTGTGTGACTCAGCATGGGGAGACGATAGGGAAAATCAGGGTCTCTGTGTAGTTATCTGTGTGACTCAGCATGGGGAGACGATAGGGAAAATCAGGGTCTCTGTGTAGTTATCTGTGTGACTCAGCATGGGGAGACGATAGGGAAAATCAGGGTCTCTGTGTAGTTAATCTCTGTGACTCAGCATGGGGAGATGATAGGGAAAATCAGGGTCTCTGTGTAGTTATCTGTGTGACTCAGCATGGGGAGACGATAGGGAAAATCAGGGTCTCTGTGTAGTTATCTGTGTGACTCAGCATGGGGAGACGATAGGGAAAATCAGGGTCTCTGTGTAGTTATCTGTGTGACTCAGCATGGGGAGACGATAGGGAAAATCAGGGTCTCTGTGTAGTTATCTGTGTGACTCAGCATGGGGAGACGATAGGGAAAATCAGGGTCTCTGTGTAGTTAATCTCTGTGACTCAGCATGGGGAGACGATAGGGAAAATCAGGGTCTCTGTGTAGTTATCTGTGTGACTCAGCATGGGGAGACGATAGGGAAAATCAGGGTCTCTGTGTAGTTAATCTCTGTGACTCAGCATGGGGAGACGATAGGGAAAATCAGGGTCTCTGTGTAGTTATCTGTGTGACTCAGCATGGGGAGACGATAGGGAAAATCAGGGTCTCTGTGTAGTTATCTGTGTGACTCAGCATGGTGAGACGATAGGGAAAATCAGGGTCTCTGTGTAGTTATCTGTGTGACTCAGCATGGGGAGACGATAGGGAAAATCAGGGTCTCTGTGTAGTTATCTGTGTGACTCAGCATGGGGAGACGATAGGGAAAATCAGGGTCTCTGTGTAGTTATCTGTGTGACTCAGCATGGGGAGACAATAGGGAAAATCAGGGTCTCTGTGTAGTTAATCTGTGTGACTCAGCATGGGGAGACGATAGGGAAAATCAGGGTCTCTGTGTAGTTAATCTGTGTGACTCAGCATGGGGAGACGATAGGGAAAATCAGTCTCTGTGTAGTTATCTGTGTGACTCAGCATGGGGAGACGATAGGGAAAATCAGGGTCTCTGTGCAGTTATCTGTGTGACTCAGCATACATGGGTACCGCATGGATAGAAAAGCATGATAAAGTTTGAAAAAGTATTTTTAAGTGTTGATGATGATGATGATTTTGAATGCAAACATACTTTGATTGTGATGATCTCTTCAATTATGATGTTGTACAAAACCAAAAAAATAAAAAACAAACTGATGTTCATCTTCAATTTGAGGTTAAGAAAACTCATTATATTCCCAGCATACCTTCTTGTTGATTGAATGATTGAAGAGTAATCAGCAAACAACCTAATTTCTAAATCCTTGACAGCCATAATGATAATGTGAATCTCACTTGGAGAAATTCTCATCCCAAATTGTGTTCCATTGCTTCATAGGAATGTACTGAATCCGTTTCAAAGATCAATGAAAATAATGGCATGCTCATATATTGGATTTAAACATCTTATATGATTGTGGTTATTGTGTTTTTTTTTTTTTTAATTTCTGAAAACAAACAAAAGGTCCTAGGAGAAAAGTAAACCTCCGTCTCCTGTCAAGTCCCTTCTCCCATACCTGCGTCTCTCATTGAAAGGGTAGTACAGAATTCAGGTTGGGACCAACCCGTGTAACCAGCAGTGATAACTAGTCGCTTTATTCCTGAAAACTCCAGGCTGTGATTACATAAGCACAGGTGAATGGGGAAAAGCAAAAGCCATGGAGGAAATCCACCTGCGCTTTCTTCCCCCTGCCAGCCCAGCTTTCACCCAGGACTGTTCTTCATGGGCTGCACGCCTCTTGCCACTGGTATTCTTAAGCAAGTGCTGGGAAGACTCGAAAGAAAAGTGTGAGAGGAGCAGCAGGCAGCGGGTTTGGGGAGGAATGAAAAGCAGAGATGGACAATCCTATGGTTTTGCCCCGAAAGAGGACAGAGACTTCACTTTACTGAGTCTGTACAAACATCTGGAATCAAAGCCAAGAGAATGACTGCGATCTAAGCCTTTCTCTAGGCCCCAAGTTTACAGCAGTTTATGCTCCTAGAAAGAGAATAATCACTGCATTTACCCAACTAAATATTTCTGTCTATTTCTCATGAAAAGTGAGGTTAAAGGTTAATGTAAGACCATTGCAGCCCATAAATTTAGGATGACTGTATAATCCTTCCAGCTTTGAAATTGTCATACCTTTTTTACTTATCCAAAATATTTCTAAAAACAACAGAAAGGTCTTGACAACCTTGATGACTTTATGGAATGTGAGATAAAGGGCGATATATATACACATCACATATACACACACACATATACGTATATATACACATATATATGTATATATGTGTGCATATATCTATACATATATGGTGTGTGTACATACATACACACCATATATACACACAGGATGTGTATGTGTGTGCGTATATATATATTACATCTATTTACATATATATATAACATTTCCTTTGATTCAATTTGCAGGCCTCAATCTTATTCTCAGAACTGATGTCACAACATCGTACAAAGCCCTCATAAGCATATTTGCCTTCCAAGGTAACTCACAGAATACATCTTCCATTTGTTATTCATATAGTCAGCTCTAGCTGCAATTGCCATTTACCAATTCCCATCTGTTAGAGGTTTTTCTTGTACCCGATGGCAGTTGAAGCAGATTGTGAATATAAAAGAAAATAGTTTCTTGGCACAGAAAAGGGATATTTGTTTTAATTGACAAGGTGTAACATTTATGAGATAAAAATGAATTTTAGACATCTCATTTATTTTTATGTCGGTCTCTTCAAGACAATTATTGGCTCTTAGGCATACATACAGAAACCTCAGGAAATTAGGGAAAAGACAGAAAAACAACTCTTGGGAAAGTCAATTCAAGCTGATCTTAAGGCTCCCAGGGAAATGGCAGGTTTGGAGGGTGGAGAGAATTCAGGTGACAGTGCCAATTCTTAGTGTCTTCTGTGCTACCATGATTATTTTAGAAAATAAAGGAGTGCTGATTTTTTAAAAAGCAATTTCCTCTGCTCAGCAATGATAAATAAATCATTTTGCTATAAATGAGTCTAGAGTCAATGCTTCAAATGAGAAAAAAAGCAATCCACTATTTCTCCTTAAGAATGATTATATATTTGATGAGTATCTTTCTTCTGATAATGATTTGTAAAATCTTATTTCTTGGTACTCCCATGAGTAGTAGAATATATTGAACAGTAAAATGTTAAACAGTTTTTGAGATGAAGGCACTGTTTCTATTCAACTTATCACAATTACTGAGGGTATCAGGTATGTACTGGATTGTCATAGCTTAAAGAGATACCAGGACGATGACAAAGGAAAGTTGAAGTTAGCTATTCTGATCAGTAGAAGGACACGCTTTTCCCCGCAAAGGAAATAAAAGTGTTAGTGTCGTTCTGTTGAGATAATTTTATCAAATAGAAAAAAGGAATAAAAGGAAAGTCATCTGTGCATTTGTAACCCAGCGATTCTCATTAAATCATTATACCATGCTAACAAGAGAAAAAAGCGTCTACAGGTGGTACTCCATTTTCAACTGGGAAAAGAGCAGGTCTAATTTGAAATAACCCAAGGCTAAGGGTGCTATAGGATGGAAGGGGAATTTTTAATCAACACTATGGGCACACATCAGGTGTCCCCGAGGGCCACGCTATGAGGAAGAACCTATGATATGTTCTATCTTCTTGTAACAGTGCTACCCTCTGGGAGACTACTTGCCCAGGGCTGGGAATTTATCTTTGGAGTTAGTTTAGGACTCAGGGTGAAAAGGAGGAGCAGTAGGAAGTGAGGCTATTGGAAAGCTTCTGTAAAAAGTGGCCCCTTCATTATTATTCCATATTCTGACTAAGCAGAGAAATGAACCTGTAGTTTCATCCATATTTTCAAAAGCAAAACTTCTTCTACTAAAATAACTTGCTACAAAAGGTATGTACTAGTTTGGGATTTTGTTTTTTTCTGTCAGTTTGATAAATGCTGTTTGGACTCTCATAATCCCCCTAATAATTGACTGGGGTCAGAGTATCTCTAGGGCGATGCTGCACATTTTAAAACCGCTTCACGGGGTGCTGGTATTCAGAGAATGCTCTTGAAGATCTGTTTCCCATTGACTTTTCAAATCCTGTTAATTGCTTATACAGTAAGCGTTAAAAGTCAGGCCTGGCAAAATCAAGGAAGCTGCAGGGAGCAGATGAAGTTTTCATGCGCAGGAGCACAGCTAGGATGAAACGAGAAGTAACTGCCGTGTCCAGTGTGGCCCAGGTGGAGAGCTGGGGGTGTGCCATGAGACTGTTAGGTCCAGAGGAAGTACGCTCGATTCGCTTGATCTCGGGGGTAACTGAAGAGATAGCAGCTCTCTCTAGAAGTCCTTTTCTGAAACTATTGAGACCTCTGACACTTCAAATCCTTAAACGCAGGAAAAACTACCAATTGATTAGAATGCCCTTGAGAAGATTGAAGTATGAGATGGTGTTGGACTAGTGGTCATTTGTTTCAATCTCAAGATTCTGTATTTCCTATTCTGAAATTTCTATTTATTATAAATCTTATAATCTTTAAAATTCTATTTTTCTAAGTCTGAGATGTGGTTGAATTTCAGTTTATAAGAAGAAATAAGGCATATGTGAATTCCCTTAACAAATCACACAGTTCAATTCCTGATAGTTGTTACCTAACGTTTATAATGTTTCTTTTTATCAAATGATCTTCAATATTCCCTGCCATGAAATGGAAGATTAGTGAATTTTTTACTAAATTATTTTGGCCTTAAAGTCTGTTCTGCCAAATTGAAATACTTGGACAGAACTAACTTTTGCTGTACAAAGTGGACAGTTAGCCATGGAGTGAGCTATTGAGAAGAAAGAATATTTTCTGAGCAGAAAACTCATTCTTCTTTTTCTAATAGCTGTATTAGGAGATTGAATTGGGGCCACTATGCTCTTTCTCTTGGGCAGGAAACATGTACTTTTTTTGCAGTCAGTAATGTTTTCATAGCTGTTATCTGACCCTTACACTGAGCAGAAGAGTTTCTGGGACAGTTTCTTTAAGTTTACAAATAATCAGCCATGTATAGGCTTAAAAAATAAATAAAGATTTCTCATCCATATGAATGAGTGGAGCAAATAAATTAGATGAGGGAAGCTGGATCACAATCTTGAGAGGAAACAAGAGGAAAATTCAGAAAACATTTCACCTATACCTGGTTCTGTTAATACCTTGCCACTACCATATTATGGATGCAGGCTGAATACATGTTTTCAGAGGTTAGCACTGCAGCCAAGCAAGCAAGCATACTGTTAATCTGATATATATAAGGACACACATAACTTACAATATAGTAAAGCAAATAGGCTTGAATGGCATTGCAGTTCACACACACTGCCATGGTGTTGCTATTCAACTTCTGAAACATAATTTTAGTTTTGTCCTCTTGCCTCCCTTGCCTTGCTATAGTGATTTAGCTTTAAAAATGCAAGCCTGCACCTGTCATTTCCCTGCTAAGCATCTCTATTGGCCCCCATGTCCTCAAGGATGCAGACCAAGTCCATTCCAGAACAGCTTCCATGCTCCAGTCCTACCCACCTCAGTAGCCCTATCACTCTTCTTACTTTCTGCTCCAACCACAATACAATTCTAGTGGTTGATCAAAATGTTTCTTTTTCTTTTTTTTTTTTTGAGAGGGAGTTTTGCTCTTGTTGCCCAGGCTGGAGTGCAATGGCGCCATCTCGGCTCACTGCAACCTCTGCCTCCTAGGTACAAGGGATTCTCCTGTCTCAGCCTCCCAAGTAGCTCAGATTACAGGCATGCACCACCACGCCCAGCTAATTTTTTTGTATTTAGTGGAGATGGGGTTTCACCATGTTAGTCAGGCTGGTTACGAACTCCTGACCTTAGGTGATCCACCCGCCTCAGCCTCCCAAAGTGCTGGGATTATAGGCATGTGCCACCTTGCCCGGCCTCAAAATGTGTCTTGATACAAAGATTTCCCCTACACTGTAATGTTCCTCTAATCCTCCCTCTCATAACAGCTACTTATCCCTCGGGTTTCATCTTAAACTTTACATTTAGGGAGAACCTTCCCCCACAGAGCAGACATATCAGGTCCCCTGTGTATTCTCTAATGGCAGTCTTGTATTTCTTTGTAACAAAAATTGAATTTATTTAACATATGACTTTCCTACCATTAAGTCTTTTACTTGAACGAGGGCAGGTATTCAGTAAATGTTTCTTGAATAAATAAATGCATGGTAGTTCTTTATCATTTATTATCATTGGTCTAGTCACAGACTCAGAAGCAGTTGGAGATACTAGTATGATTGAATTTCTCTATTTTTAGTTTCTTTCAAATACTTGCACACACACAGACACACACACACACACACACAGACACACACACACACACACACACACACAGCTTCCTTGCAGTTTCCCAGAAATACAATTCCAGAGCCACAGGTCCCTCATCTCACAACTTGTCCCCATGTTCTCATTTGTCCCTCTGATCTTACTTGTCAGCCCTTCCCAGCACCTGGGGATCGTGCATTGTGAAGCAGCACACTCAGGGGTTCCCTGCTCCGTGTTTCCCTCCCTAATGCCAAAGGGCCAGGAGCCATTGTGTCGCAGAGTAGGCTGCTTCACTTGTGCCTGAGGGAGGACAGACAATATGCTCATCAGGATTCAGGGAGGAGAGTGTGGACGCTCAGACAGAGGAGTGCTGTCTTTGTTTCTCGCTGCTATATCAGAATGCCACAGACTGGGTAATTTATAATAAACAGAAATTTGCTTCCTCACAGTTCTGAAGGCTGAGAAGGTCAGGATTTAGGGGCCAGCATCTGGTGAGGGGCTTCTCACTGCATTCTTCCACGGTGCCAGGTGGCAGTGCAAGAAAGCACATAAGACACACAGCAAGAGGAGGCTGAACTCACTTTTATAACAAACCCACTCACCCCATAATGAATTTACTCCTGTGTTCAACACATAAACTTTTGGAGACACATTCAAACCATAACATGTACTATTGAAATGGAGCTCTGACAGGAGACACCTTGGGTGCCTCAAGCTGGAGATTCTGCTTTGCATCCCCAGTTAATAATTAGTAGATAAAAGAAAGAGACTCTTTGGGCACTGGGACCTGGGGTCTATGAATGTTGAAAAGGAAGAGCAAACCATGACATCAGGACTTGAGTTTCTCACACCCCTTTCTCCCACCCCCACCCAGGCAAAAATAGATACAAAAGAAGAAGGAATTACAGAAGAAGTCACATAACATTATTGCCTACAACTGACTGTTTACCTTGAATACTTGAAGACCAGAATGAAGATTCTTGGGGTGAAGAATTACAGCCTTAGCATGGAGCAGGCCTCGGTGCATCGGCTTTCAGCTAGGCATGCCTGCCAATGTTCAACGTCCTCCTGGGATACGGAAGGCACCGTGATAGACATCTGGGCAAGTCAACAGGAAGGTGGATATCCAAATCTCTCTCTTCGCAATGAGTTTCCAGTTAGATGGAGGAGAGAGTAATAAAACACAGTAAGTGTGGAAAAGATTAAAATGCATGTTGTGATATACCACAGGAAATCAGAGGAGAGAGGTTCATTCTAAGGGGAATGGTGGAAACGTCAGTGAGAACATACCACCTGGGTGGTTCTTGTAAGATGATGTGGAAGAGAAAAGGTAAAGATTGAGCAAAACAGTGCATGAGCGAAGGATGCAATGTGAGATGGTCTGAACAGTTTAAAAGAATAACCTGGGCCAGGCACGGTGGCTCACTCCTGTAATCCCAGCACTTTGGGAAGCCAAGGCGGGTGGATCCCGAGGTCAGGAGTTCGAGACCATCCTGGCTAACACGGTGAAACCCCGTCTCTACTAAAAATACAAAAAATTAGCCGGGCGTGGTGGCGTGTGCTTGTAGTCCCAGCTACTTGGGAGGCTGAGGCAGGAGAATCGCTTGAACCTGGGAGGTGGAGGTTGCAGTGAGCCGAGATCGCGCCACTGCACTCCAGCCTGGGCGACAGAGACTGACTCCCTCTCAAAAGAAAAAAAAAAAAAAAGCATAAGCCGAGGGAATGAAAGTACTTTCTGTGGCTGGAGCACAGGATGTCTAGACAGAAGAATTTGGAAAGAAACAGAGGATACTAGATTTGGAACAGATCATTCAGGTCCTCAAGACCTTGAAAATAAGGCTACAGTTTTTAATATTATTATACTGCAGGCCATTGAAGATAATGCACTTGTTTTGTATTGTTTTTGTTTTTCAGAAGACAGAGTATTAACTTTTTTTTCAGGTTGTAGAATTCATCAATTCCATAACCATTTTTGAATGAGTATTACAGGTCAAGGACTTTTCTAAAAAGATGGATATGGTCTCTTCTGTCATGGGTCTTACATTCTGTGGGAGGAGACAAGCAATAACTACATACAATGAGCACAATAATTGAAGTGATTATGTGGGAATTAAAGGGGTGGGCTATTGACAACTTCAGACACCATGGTAATTAATGGCCTTCGATTTGTAACAGGAGCTGAGATTCCTGACTTCACAGATCCCTGAGGAGATGTTTACTAAAGGGAATCTTCTGGTCACTGTTACCTTCCTCCGTACTTACCTGCCTCATGGAGTAAGCATGACAAAATTCTTGATTACATAGGGAAAATCACATCTTCGATTAATACTTTCCTGTTTTTATTCTTCATTACTACTTGCATGATATTCACATAATCTTTTCTCTTCTCCTGCTTCCTCCGTGCAATAAGCTGCTCAGGCAGCCTTTGCTCTTAAGAGCTTGTTTGTATCTGAGAACGAGTTAAGGCTTTACACTGGTAGTAAGTTTAAGTCATGCCAAAAAGGGGTAGAATACCTGATTCTCCTAGTTTCAAGACAAGCCAGGTTTTTTTTGTTTGTTTGTTTTTTAAAAAAGCAGAAACTTTCATTGCTCTCTCTCATCTGAAACTAGATGAGGCTATCTACTCTGAGTGGCCAGGTCTTCTGTAATTTGTAACTGAAATGCAGGTTACTTGCTCACTGCACGTACAGTTCAGTTAACGAGGGAAATCTGATCCAAAATAAGTGAATTTATTCCGAAGTTAGCTTGGGGGAAGGGGCACAAAGCATCCCGCCTTTGAATGTGCCGCTTCTCCTCTGTTGCAAAAAGTGGGCATTTTCATAGGGTAAGGGAGGACATGAGCAAGGGCAGGGGTCCCACTGCTTCTGGTCAGTTACCTACCAGGCAGTTGAGTTGGCACCTTCCTGTGCAGAGTTCAGTTGTAAAAGTAGCCAAGTGGTCATGCTTTCGATGTGCTGTCCTGGTGCGTATGAGTTCCTAGGTCACCCCTGGAGGATGGCAGTTCCGAGGCACGCCCCTGGAGGTGAGAGTTCCATGGGGACATGCTTTGGTCTGTAAATCCACCGTCAGCTCTGGAGGAGAGACCTGTCTTGGAGCACGAAGTTAGAGGAACTTGCTGTGTAGGCAATGTCCTGTGAGGGAGAGGTGAGAGATTATATTTGCATTTCAGCAGAGCTAAGCAGAAAGCAGAGAGCCAGGGAAAGGAGAAAACAGAGTGAGAGGGAAAAATATAATTAAACCACCCGTAGAAAAATAGGGAGAACTGGGGGCCGGGGCGGTGGCTCACGCCTGTAATCCCAGCACTTCGGGAGGCCAAGGCCGACGGATCATGAGGTCAGGAGTTCGAGAGCAGGCTGGCCAACATGGTGAAACCCTGTCTCTACTAAAAATACAAAAATTAGCTGGGTGTGGCAGCAGGCGCCTGTAATCCCAACTACTCGGGAGGCTGAGGCAGGAGAATCGCTTGAACCCGGGAGGTGGAGGTTGCAGTGAGCTGAGATCGTGCCACTGTGCTCCAGCCTGGGCAACAAGAGCAAAACTCCATCTTAAAAAACAAAAGAAAAAAGAAAAAGAAAAATGGGGTACTTGGTTACATTTTAAGAACCTAAAAATCTAGAATTTCATGCAAAACTCATAATTTTCAAGTTGGTAATTAATTTTCAAATGTAAACATATTGTGGCTCGCAAAGAACAATAAGATCAATCAACCAATAAAGGCAAAAATAGAGAGTAAGGAAGAATCCACACTAAGAAGCGTGAAGACTTGATTAGAGACATAAGCCAAAGAAAGGAGATGTGTTCAGTGTTTACTGCCATGTGCCAAGCAGGGGCGGGTGAAGACAATGGCAATGTGAACAGCTAGGAGGAAGGCAATATCTGGTAAATTAGAGCCGATGACATATGAGTCCAAAGGAGAAAAGAGGACGCTGAACCCAAGCTTGATGATTGGGAGAATGGTGGTCCCGTGACTTGTCCCACCGAAGCCAAAGAAAGAACAGATCTAAGGGATGGTGATCTTTGAGCAAGCTCGTTTCCCTCACACGTTCCAGCGCTGTTTCACGCCAGGCTCTGGGATTGAATGATATCCCTGGATCAGGTTCACTGGCGTCCCCTGCTGGCACAGAGCAGCACAAAGACTTCGAAACTGGATACGCTGATAAATTTATGAAATCTCCACAAACTAGAGAACACGGGCTAGGTGCGGTGGCTCACACCTGTAATCCCAGCACTTTGGGAAGCCGAGGCGGGTGGATCACGAGGTCATGAGATCGAGACCAGCCTGGCCAACATAGTGAAACCCCATCTCTACTAAAAATACAAAAAATTAGCTGGGCATGGTGGCGGGCGCCTGTAGTCCCAGCTACTTGGGAGGCTGAGGCAGGAGAATCGCTTGAAGCCCGGAGGCGGAGCTTGCAGTGACCAGAGATCACTCCACTGCACTCCATCCTAGGCGACACGGTGAGACTCTGTCTCAAAAAAAAACAAACACAAAAACACTAGAGAACATGTTATTAAATAATAGAAAGAAAGAATGCCCATCTGATAAAGGTACAAAACTGACCTTAAAATGACTTAGCACTGGAAAGAAAAAAAAAAGAGGCTACAAATTTTTGGTTACTGAAGAGCCTTTTAAATAAGATTATATTAAAACAGTGGGTAGATCTCTCCAAAGCAGAATAAGAAAACCCCTAATCTTCCTCCTAACTAAATGATTATATGATTTGATGAGTGAGGATTAAGTTCTGCTTTTAAATATAATTGCTGGGTAATATGAATATAAACCAAATATGTAAAATTTAAGATACAAAGATCAATATTCCCAATTCTATAAAATTTGTGTCAACTAATTGTAGATAATAAAATATTTTATGTATTTTTTAGAAGAAGATAATAGGCATAACAACTATTGTGAAATTATCCAAATTTGTACTCTTAGTTGCCAATTTTCAGTTCTTTAGAAAGTGCAATTATTCTTAGCAGTGAGAAACATGAGTCTCACAGAATACATTTAAGTCTTCACTTTGATTTACAACCTCCAGTGTTAATTAAACAAATGCCAACTATGCTAATAGTCTGGAAATCCTTTGACAAATACTGAAAGAAATGACAGGTCTGGCACATACACATATAGATGGAGGCTTGCCTGATTTTTAAGAGGCGTTTTACAGATTTGGCCTTATAATACTTATTCTATAACTATTCATTTTATCCTGGAAAATGTTGTCTATAAAGTTTTGGAGAGAAATTGCTCTGTAGAACAAATTGACATTTCACAGGAATAAGTCCACTATTGCTAAGAAAAATGGTACTGGGGATGGAGCCCCAAAATGGCAGAGGCAAACACAGCCCTATCAACCTCTCCCATCCCCCTGTGTACACATTAGTATAGACTTAGTCTGTCTTTAGGAACAACATTTTTACTGACCTGCTTTCTAAGTTGTTGGTCCCTCCTCTTCCCTGGGATCTACATATCAGGGTAGTTTCATAATTCTCTGTTGTCTCAGTTACGTGTTAAAAGTAAGCATGTTCACTGAGTGATGATTTTACTTTTTAAACAACCTCATCTTTTACCGTACCATCAGTTATATTAAATATGACATTTAAGGTTTTAAAAGTGGAGTTAGAAAGCTACATACTGAGAGGTGAAGCCAGGCGGGCTTCTGACTCATGTGGGGACTTGGAGAACTTTTCTGTCTAGCTGGAGGATTATAAACGCACCAATCAGCACTCTGTGTCTAGCTAAAGGTTTGTAAATGCACCAATCAGCACTCTGTAAAAACGGACCAATCAGCACTCTGTAAAATGGACCAATCAGTGCTCTGTAAAATGGACCAATCACCGCTCTGTAAAATGGGCCAATCAGCAGGACGTGGGTGGGGCCAAATAAGGGAATAAAAGCTGGCCACCAGAGCCAACAGTAGCAACCGGTTTGGGTACCTTTCCCTATGAAAGCTTTCTTTCACTTTTCACAATAAGTCGTGGGTGCTTCTCACTCTTTGGGTCTGCACTACCTTTATGAGCTGTAACGTTCGTGGCGAGAGTCGGTGGCTTCATTCTTGAAGTCAGCCAGACCAAGAACCCACCAGAAGGAATAAATTCCAGACACAATACAATATGTTGGGTGAGCAGATCATGGCACTTATGTCAGGAAAGCTTGTGTTTAATCCTGGGTGTGCCATTTACTAAGTGTGTGATTAGTTGTATTATATATACATACACACACACGTATTTTTTGAGACAGAGTCTCGCTCTGGCACCCAGGCTGGAATGCTGTGGTGCAATCTCGGCTCACTGCAACCTCCGCCTCCCAGGTTCAAGCGATTCTCCTGCCTCAGCTTCCCGAGTAGCTGGGGCTGCAGGCATGAGCCACCATATCCAGCTTTTTTTTTTTTTTTTTTTTTTTTGGATTTTTAGTAGTGACAGGGTTTTGCCACATTGGCCAGGCTGGTCTCGAACTCCTGACCTCAGACGATCTGCCCACCTCAGCCTCCCAAAGTGCTGGGATTATAGCCATAGGCCACTGCACCCAGCCGTATCTTTTAATTTTAATACCCAAATGTATTATCAAGCTAATAAATTTGAATAAAAACAAAATAGTAAAGCTAATATAAATATTAAACTTTTTACACAAAGAATTGGTTCTTTAAAAAGGTTAGCAAAATTGAGAAATCTTTGCTAGAATGATTTAGGAAGAAAGAAGACTCAACTGAAAATCAGAAGTGAAAGAAGAGACATTACTACCAATTTTGCAGAAATAAAAAGGATTGTAAAAGAGTACTGTGAACAATTGTATACCAACAAACTGAACATCTTAGGTGAGATGGACAAATTCCTAGAAACACACAAATGGCCAAGATTGAATCACGAAGAATCAGAATATCTCAAGAGACTTACAGTAAGGAGATTAACTCTGTAATAACCCCCCAGCAAAGAAAAGCTAAGGGCTAGATGACTTCACTGGATAATTGTAGCAAACATTTAAAGAACAATTAAAACAAATCTTTCTCAAACTCTTAATAAAAAGCAAAGTGGAGGGAGTACTGCCAAACTCAATCTACGAGACCAGATTTACCCTGATACCAAAATCAGACAAGTATACTATGAGAAAAGAAAGTACAGACCAATATCCCTGATTAATACTGATGCAGAAATCCTCAAGAAAATACTAGCAATCAGAACTCACAAGACATTAAAAGAATTTTACATCATGGCAAAGTGGGCTTTAGTCCTAGAATGCAAGAATGGTAAATATATGAAAATCAAAGTAATGCCCTACATTCACAGAATGAAGGACAAAAACCATGTGATGATCTCAACTGATGCAGAAAGAAAAAATTTGACAAGATGCTCTATTACAAAACACTCAACAACTAGTAATAGAAGGAAACTTCGTCAACACAGTAAAGGCCAAATATAAACACCCAGAACTAACATCGTACTCAATGGTTAAAGACTGAATGGTCTCCCTCTAAGATCAAGAGGAGCAAGACAAGGATGCTCTCTTTCACCGTTTCTGTTCTACTTAGTGTTAGAAGTCCTACCTGGAGTAATTAGGTAAGAAAAAGCAATAAAAGTCATCCACATGAGAAAGGAAGAAGTAAATTTATATCTGTTCACAGATCACATAATCTTATGTGTAGAAAACCATAACTATTACATAAAAATGAATTCAGCAAAGTTGCAGAATTCAAAATCAACACACAAAAATCAATTGCATTTCTGTGTATTAATGATGAGCAACCCAAAGGAAATTAAGAAAACAATTCAATTTACAATAGCATTAAAAAGAATAAAACACTTAAGAACAAACTTAACCACTGAGGCAAAAGACTTGTACTCTGAAAACTATAAAAGAAATATATACATAAGTGGAAAGACATCGATATTCATGAATTAGAAGACTTATATTGTTAAGATAGTAGTGTTCCCCAAAATGATCTACAGATTCAATGCAATCCCTATCAAAATCTCGACCTTTTTTGCAGACATGGAAAAATTCATTGTTAAATTCAAATGGAAATTAAAGGAATCTATGATAGCCAAAATAATCTTGAAATAGAAAAACAAGGTTAGAGGTCTCGTACTTCATGATTTAAAAACTCACTGCAAAGCTACAGTAATCAAAACAGTGGTTATTGTCATAAAGACAAGAGTATAGACCAACAAAATGGAATAGAGAGCCTAGAAATAAACCTTCACATACATGGTCAAATGATTTCAACAAGGGTGCCAAGAATATTCAATAGGGAAAGGGCAGTCTTTTCAACCAGTGGTCCTGAGAAAACAAGATAACCACATGCAAAAGAGTTAAGTTGAACCATTACCATAGACTATATACAAAAAGTTAACTAAAAATGGATCAAAGACCTAACCCATAAGAGTTAAAACTATAAAACTCTTAAACAAAAATATAAGGGGAAAGCTTCATGTCACTGGATTTGGCATTGATTATTTGGATATGACAATAAAAGCATAGATAACGAAGAAAAATAAGTAAATTGGACTACACCAAAGTTAAAAACTTCTGTGCAAAACAGGCTATAATCAACAGAGTGAAAAGGCAACCCATAAAATGGGAAACATTTGCAAATAATATAACTGATTAGAGTTATTCAGAATATATAAAGAACTCTTACAACTCACACACACACACACACACACACGAAACCCAATTAAACCATTGACAAAAGCCTTGAATAGACATCTCTACAAAAAAGATACACACATAGCTAATAAGCACATGAAGAGATGCTTGATACCACTAATTGTTAGAGAAATGGAAGTCAAAACCCTGACTGGCAAAACACTGTGACACCACTTGATACCCATTAGGATTGCTACTATTAAAAAAAAATCAGAAAATAACAAGCATTGGCAAGGATGTGGATAAACTGGAAAACTTTTGCATTTTTGGTGGGAGATAAAATGGTGCAGCCACTATGGAAAACAGTATGGTGGTTACTCAAAAAATTAAAAATAGAATTACCATATGGTGCAGTGATTTCACTTCTGGGTATATATCAAAAATAATTAAAATGAAGCACTTGTACAGATATTTTTGCACTTATGTTCATAAGCAGCATTACTAACAATAGTCAAAAGGTGGAAGTAAGCCAAGTGTTCATTGCTGGCGGAATAAACAAACTATGACATTTACTTACAATAAAATATTTTTCAGCCTTAAAATGGAAGGAAATTCTGACACATGCTACAACTGTAGGTCATTATGTTGAGTGAAATAAGCCAGTCATAAAAGGATAAATACTGTATGATTCTGAAACAGACCGAATAGTCCCATTTTTTAAAAAAAATTTTGATGAACATAGAAATTGACCCCTTTGGTATTAAAGTTTGAAACTTATATTTGTTTTTTCTGAGTTCCTTCTTCAGGAAATGACCTTCAGGCCTCTCAAAAAAAAGTATTAAAGAACTGAAACTCACCCAGTTACCACATCCAGACAATGAGATGCCAGACCCCTCATTCATCATGATGGCTTCCTTGCCCCTCACTAGTTCCTGTTTCCTTACACATTGTTACATTCCTTCCCTGCTATATAAACTCCTAGTTGTAGTTGGTCAGAGAGATGGATTTGAGACTGAGTTCCTGTCTCCTCGGCTGCAGCACCCGATTAAAGCCTTCTTCCTTGGCAATACTCATTGTCTCAGTTCTTGGCTTTCTGTGCAGCCAGTAGAAGAACCTAGACTGAACTCCTGGTGTTTCACTAATCATCCCACTTACACAGTGTACTTAGAGTAGTCACATTCATAGAGACAGAAAATAGAATGGGGGTTGTCAGCAGCTGGTGGAAAGGCAATGGTGAGTTCTTGTTTAATGGTTAGAGTTTCAGTTTTACAAGATTGAAAGGGTTCTGGATATGGATATTGATGACGGTTGCACAACAATGTAATGATGTTCACTGAAGTGTACTTTTAGAAATGTTAGGATGATAATTTATATAACTTTTTTTTTTTTTTGAGATGGAGTCTCTGTCACCCAGGCTGGAGTGAAGTGGTGCCATCTTGGCTCACTGCAACCCCCACCTCCTGGGTCAAGAGATTCTCCTGCCTCAGCTTCCCAAGTAGCTAGGATTACAGGCTACCACCTGTGTGATTACGGGCCACCATGCCTGGCTAATTTTTGTATTTTTAGTTCGAGATGGGGTTTCACCATGTTGGCCAGGCTGATCTTGAACTCCTGACATCATGATCCACCCGCCTTGGCCTCCAAAGTGCTGGGATTACAGGCATGAGGCACTGCGCCTGGCTTATAACATTTTTTTTTTTTTTTTGAGACAGAGTCTCACTCTGTCGCCTAGACTGGAGTGCAGTGGTGCGATCTCAGCTCACTGCAACCTCTGCATCCCGGGTGCAAGTGATTCTCCTGCCTCAGCCTCCCAAGTAGCTGGGACTACAGGCACCTGCCACCACATCTGGCTAATTTTTGTATTTTTAGTAAAGGCGAGGTTTCATCATTTTGCCCAGGCTGTTCTCAAACTCCTGACCTCAGATAACTTATGTAACTTTTATATAGGTATATTTTATCACACTTAAAAATATTAACACATCTTAAGAAATTCAGCCAACCCAAATTGCTGAGATGGCATGGAGGTATGGAAAGAGCTTTTCAAGCTAGAAAGACCTAAGTTTGAAATGAGACCTAAGTTCTACTACGTTCTAATGCTATGACCTCAGAGATGTCATAGAGTCACGTTGACACTCAGCTTCCTCATATTATGCGATGACCACTTATAGAGGCATGATGAAGAGTAATTGAGATTATGTTATTTACAGTCTCTGGCACAGCCTGTGGCTCTCCACAGGTACACTGCAATGAATCTTCCTTTGCATTTTCCTCAGGTAATAGTAAGGTGTAATTGACTACAAATAGGTCTCTATGCTTTAAATGTAAATATTAATTTCACTTAGATGATCTAATTCAGTTTTTACAGCATGCTATGGTTTACACAATCCTTTATATAGTATTTTATTTTCCTAACTTTTGAGGTAAGCATTACGAATTATATTTTAACAATGGATGATCTGAATATAAAAGAGATTACAGGATTTGATTAAGATCATATATTGCTGTGATTCAACACCATATTTTCTTAATTCAATTTCATCGTTATTTATATGGTACAATTAGGAAAGGAAAAAGTAATCCAAGCCCTATATTAAACCATACCTGTTGCTGAGTGTCTTCAAAATCATTTTATTTTCCTTCCTAAGATAAAAAAAAAATGATAGAATCCTACGTGCTTGTCTGATGATTCGTAACTTGAAGTCAGGGATTAGATCTCCTCTGTTTCTTAGTTTTATTCTATAGCCCATGAATATATTAAGCATTCAATAGACATTTGTTGAATTAAAATGGTATAAACTATTGATCTGAAATACTGCATTTGAAGCTTGGTACTTCATGCATTTTGTTCATATCATTTATGTACTAAATTCAACTTTTTTTTTATTTTGCATCCTGATTGTGTTTTCATAAACATTTATTCTAATGCTAAAATTTAATATCAATAAATTATATCTTGGAGAAATAATTTAACAAACTCATATTTGCTTGGTGTGATTATCAAGACTGCAGAAACTTTGGCAATATAACATAATGGGGAAAAAATTGGACAGGAATCAGAACTAACCTTCATTATGGGTTCCTGGAATAGCTCCAATCTATTCAAGTACCCTGGAGCCAAACATTTAAATGCTCCCTGCCTGGATTTCTGCATTTCCCCAATGGAGATGATAATATTTATCTGGCCTACGTTGTAAGCTTCCTTTTTCTACACCATGATACTCAGTATGACATAGAGGTTCAAATCACTTACTATTTTCATAACCATAGGCAAACCTCTTCACACTTCCATCTGTAAAGCTGCCTAATAATAGTATCTGTGTTCTAGTTTATCATGAGGATTAAACGAGTGAATATTTATGAAGCGTGTAAAACAGTATTTGGCACATATGCAAATGTTGGTTAAATTTTATGTGCATAAGTGTGTGTGCGCACTTTGAAAAGTATAAAAATATATTTATAATATCAGGTCAATTAATATTTTTTCTCTCTAAATGCTACTCTAGTTATGTATATGCACTTCAAGTACTTGACTTTTAGTTTTCTCATCTGAAAAATTGCATTATCTTTTATTTAACTTATATTTTTGATCATTAAATGCTCTTAAGTACTCCATGCTCAGTAAGACAGATAAATGGAGAAATCTAGCATGAAGTTAGAAATTAAGAAGGCATATTGTTTCTATAAAAAAGAACAATTTTAACGAGGAAAGACAGAAAACAAGAAACATACCATTGAGGCCAACTGGTTTATAAGGTGTTGTTACTCAGTCCCAGATTTTAAGGTGCAATTCTCACATATGAATTTTCATAGAGGCCTTTGAAGAAGAGAACAAAGTCTATGAAAATGCAGCCAGTAAAAGATCCTCCCCTTCCTTGAACTACACCCAACCTGACTTCAGATGCAGGTTGCCTTTACTTGGGGACGTGTGTGGCCGAGAGGCAAGAGGGGTTTCCCTTGAGTAGAATAGAACTTAAAGAGCCAACAGCAGACTCCTCAGATGCTAGTAACTTGCCACCAGTAGCGTACACTGTGTCCAACACGCAGAGGCAGGTTTGAGTGGAATTCCCAGATAGCTTGTGATCAAAGACTGGTCGCCAGTGAAGAAGACTTGGGATGGATGGATGGATGGGTGGATGGATGGGTGGATAAATGGATGAATTTAACATTGAGGTATAATTTGCTTAACAGTAAAATGTTCAGTTTAATAAGTTTAGGCCAATTAATATTAATTTTGATTAATCTCAAATTGTCTTGCTATCGAGTGTTTTTTTAAGACAGCACCAAGTGTAAAGGAAAATCTTGAGATCATTATGCCAAAGACAAATTGACTCCATAAGATTAGTCCAAATTATCAAGTATATTCCATCATTTTGAATACTCATAAAACATATTTTGATTTTTATTATTTTAAGTGAATATTTGGTGATTTCAAATAAGCAAACCCAAATTCAAGAACTTTCACTGTGCAGAAATTTCCAAAGTCAAAACCAAATAGCGAGTGTGATAAGTTATACTCATTAGACAGCAATAGAGAGGCCCCCTGTAATGGAATATGGGGTGACTGTGAGGATGCTGAAGAAAAAATGGCCATGATTTTTTATCTAAAGGTGTGCTTAGTAAAGTAGGAATAGAAAATAAAGACAAATATGCAACTCCAGGAGTTATGAGAATGTATTCGGGACGTATTTTGAAAACAAACCCAACTGCTAAAATTGAGTCGACCCAGAAAAGAATTAAGCTGAGATATCTCTTAGTGATACTTTCACATCCAGATTTACGCTTAGATTCATGATGCATTACAACTAATAAAATTGTTTAAGTATGAGAAAGAGCAGACCAAGGGGCCATGAAGAAAATATAATTAAATGCAGATTAAAGGGGCAGGGCTTCTGGTTTGGCAGACACTTACACTTCAAAGACTGGAACATTCTCTTTAATAATACCTCAGTTATCTAATAAAAATGATCATTTGGAAATCATGCTGGTCACTTCTGTCTAGCTCAAGTGTCAATGTTCTGGATATACTGGGTACTTTATTCACACTGAATTGCTTTTATACATCGAGAAAGGTGTTAACTCTTACTCTTCTTAAAATGGACTGTGGTAATTAATTCTGATGCCTGGAAGCAAATAAGTAAATCTTTGAAATATTCATTTTATTTATACAGACTTAGATATCTACTTTTTAGGAAAATCACACTTAAATACCCCTTTCACTTTTGTACATATTTGACACAGTTTGGTATCAACTGTTACTCGGATTATATAGAAATATTTTGTTGCAATGAATTTATCCAATTTCCTTAAAGGAAGAAGCAACAATGGATTATTTCAAGGAGAACATTATGTAATAGTCCATGCTAATGAACTGTTAAAAAAATATTATTGACACAGGCATGTTAATAGCAGTGTGGGTTTTGGTAATCAGCTAACATAATTAGTCCAGAATTATATGGACTTTTTAAGTAATAAAATTTACTGGAAACTTAAATGTAATTAATTAAAAGTTTGGTTTAGTTATAAATATGATTAAAGCATTTTTCTCTAATTTTTTTTTTTTTTTTGAGACAGAGTCTCGCTCTGTCGCCCAGGCTGGAGTGCAGTGGCCCTATCTCAGCTCACTGCAAGCTCCGCCTCCCGGGTTCACGCCATGCTCCTGCCTCAGCCTCCTGAGTAGCTGGGACTACAGGCGCCCGCCACTATGCCCGGCTAATTTTTGGTATTTTTAGTAGAGACGGGGTTTCACCGTGTTAGCCAAGATGGTCTCGATCTTCTGACCTCGTGATCCGCCCACCTCGGCCTCCAAAAGTGCTGGGATTACAGGCGCGAGCTACCGCGCCCAGCCCATTTTTCTCTAATTTATACTTAAATTTGCATTATTATTTGCAAAACGTACCAAAATTTGGACATTTAAGCATCATTTATTCTGAAAAAAGTATAAGACATAGTAAATAACATACCAATATGGGACATGGGAGATAAAAATTGATCACCCAGTAGATAAAGGGAAAAGCTCTTTCAGAAAAAAAAAGTAAATTTAATTGGCATATAATCAGAATATGTATGAGCATTTTGGAGTTCTTGTTTTCTTGTTAACTAAGGTAGAATTTTACAGGTTTGTAGACCAAGGCTTCATCTCCATGAATGTGGCCCCATGATTAAGATGGCTTGGGGTCAGACAGACTCAGTCCTGCTGTTTGTTAGTTGTGTAACATCAGACATGCTCAAAGCCTCAACTTACTCATTTTGGGGAAATAATAATAATTATTAAGACTGGTGAGGGCCAGCTCGGTGGCTCACGCCTGTAATCCCAGCACTTTGGGAGGCCGAGGCGGGTGGATCACGAGGTCAGGAGATCGAGACCATCCTGGCTAACACCGTGAAACCCCGTCTCTACTACAAATACAAAAAATTAGCCGGGCGTGGTGGCGGGCGCCGGTAGTCCCAGCTACTCGGGAGGCTGAGGCGGGAGAATGGCGGGAACCCGGGAGGCGGAGCTTGCAGTGAGCCGAGATCGCGCCCCTGCACTTCAGCCCCGGGGGACAGAGCGAGACTCCATCTCAGAAAACAAACAAACAAACAAACAAAAAAACTGGTGAGGGTTATAATAAATATATGTGAATTAAATAAAAATGTGTTTTAAATGTCATCAATTGTTTTATATTTCTTAATAAATTTCTCTTTTGTCAATTTCATTATTCAGCAAACGCAGAAACTTAAGATTTTCTGCTGTTTGTAGTAATGTAGTATATTTCATCATATGGCAAGTGCTACCAGAGAGAAGTAGGATTATTATTTATTGTGGTTTTTGCAAAACCAGAGGCCCATGCCAGGAGTTTTATTCAGCACGGCTCCTCTTTGATTCCTGTCACACCTAGACACAATGAAGGTGATTTGCAAAAAAGTAGAAGAAATAAAAGAAAAACAAAACAAAAACTCTTCTTGCCAAGATTTCTAAAGTAATGAAGAAATAACGTCACTTGTAAAAGGGGTTTCTAAAATTACCTATCTGGAACAGAAGAAAGCAAGAGTCCGGTACCCCTATCAAATCAATTGGTTTAACATGTTTTCCCTTTTAAAGTAAAATAATAATTTAAATAATAAATACACATTTTTATTTATATAATGCCATTTTTAATATAGTATCATTTTTCTACTGGGATTTTATAGTTTAATAGACGTTCATCATTAGTGTGCTGTTTCAAATCCTGGCCCTGCTCTATATTTTTTGGTTGGTTTGTTTGGATATTATTACCATAAAAACAAAAACAGGCTTGCAATGGCTGCAGATTCACAGAAGATTATTAGAAATAAAAGTTTATTGTTAAATATTTTGTCATAGCAAAATATATTTTTCTTTAAGAGAAAAAAGTTTTTATCTAAATATTATCAAATTTATTACTTTCATCACTTACGTAAGTTAACCAGTTCATATGCATCTGTATGTCTCAGTAGAGACCACCAACTTCAACATTAATGTGTTTTATTTTCTCAAAGTTGGACTTCAGACAAAAATTATAAAACTGGAAGATAGTAATATTTAAGGATGCCTTCCTAAAATTATCTTAAGTACATCGAATATTTCCAAAAAATGTTTTTCCTCTGAGAGTTTCCTATGCTGGTAAGAAATATTTTGGGAACAGAATAGACAAGGATTAAGTGAAAAATAAATGTCCCTTTTTACTCTTATTCCAGTTCTCAGAGGAAACAGTTTCTTGCACGGACTTCCAGTTATTTTCTATACATAGGAAGTATATTATATATAACAATATAAAATTTATCATGAATGAACTACTCTATACACACTCTGACAGTTACTTTTTAAGTTAAACAATATCTCGAGTGTCTCACATATCTATACTCTCACAAGTATTACATATATATTACATACATACTTGCCTAATTAGTTTTTGGTGACAATATATTGTATTATTATATGAATGTACTATAATTTTTAATAGCAAGTCTCTTTGCAAGTGTAGCTCCAGCTTCTATTAGGAGTGAAATCCCTGGATAAAATATAACTTGTCTCCAAAGCTGATTCTCCAAAACTGTTTCAATTTCCATTCCCGCATGGTAATATCAATAGAATAATTGCCCATTGTCCCACAACCTGTTTAACATGGTCACACAGCGGGATTCTGACTTTGCCAAATGGCTCACTTCAATAAGCTTAATGAATGTTTAAATGAATGAATGTCAATTTATGAATGAGGATTACCATCTTCTCATACACGACTACTGAATGTATCTCACTTTCTGAATGGGAATCATCTTCTCATATACTACCACTTTTTTTTTTTTGAAACAGGGTTTCACTCTGTTGCCCATGCTAGAGTGCAATGGCATGATCATAGCCCGCTGCAGCCTTGAACTCCTGGGCTCAAGCTACCCTCCCACCTCAGCCTCCTGAGTAGCTAGGACTACAGGTGTGAACCACCATGCCCAGCTAATCGTGTGTTTGTTTGTTTGTTTGTTTGTTTGTTTTAGAGAACACCAGGCTGGTCTCGAACTCTTGGGCTCAAGTGATCCTCCTGCCTCAGCTTCCCAAAGTGCTGGGAATCAGGCATGAGCCACTGTGCCCACCCTTATACTACCTTTTTTTTTTTTTTTTTTTTTTTTGAGACGGAGTCTCACTCTGTTACCCAGGCTGGAGTGCAGTGGTGCAATCTCTTCTGACTGCAACCTCCACCTCCTGGGCTCAAGCGATTCTCCTGCCTAGCCTCCCGAGTAGCCTGGATTAAGGGCGTGCACCACCACGCCTGGCTAATTTTTGTATTTTTTTATAGTAGAGACGGGGTTTCACCATGTTGGCCAGGATAGTTTTGAACACCTGACCTCAAATGATCTGCCCGCCTCGGCTTCCCAAAGTGCTGGGATTATAGGTGTGAGCCAGTGTGCCCAGCCCCCTTATACTACTTTTATATGTCTTGCCTGGTTTTTTCTTCTGACCAGATTTATAATTAAATAACTGGTTTTTTTTCTTACTGACTTTCATGAAATTTTAATTTATCAGGAAATTAGTTCTGTTGTTAATTTATGTTGTACATATTTACTCTAATTTATCTCTCTTAAAATGTTTTGTTTTTTGGCCAGACGTGGTGGGTCATGCCTGTAATCCCAGCAATTTGGGATCACCTGAGGTCAGGAGTTCAAGACCAGCCTGGCCAACATGGCAAAACCCCATCTCTGCTAAAAACAAAAATTAGCTGGGTGTAATGGTGCGCACCTGTAATCCCAGCTACTCGGGCGGCTGAGGCAGAGCAATCGTTTGAACCCGGGAGGTGGAGGTTGCAGTGAGCTGAGACCTCACCACTGCACTCCAGCCTGGGTGACAGAGCAAGACCCTGTCTCAAAAAAAAAAAAAGTTTTATTTTTTAATATATACATACTTTAGTGGGACATAAGAATGATTTAGGGCACTTCAATTTGGGTCTATTTTTTCTTTCTTTTATTATACTTTAAGTTCTGGGATACATGTGCAAGACGTGCAGGTTTGTTACAAAATAGGTATACATGTGCCATGGTGGTATGCTGCACTCATCAACCCGTCATCTACATTAGGTATTTCTCCTAATGCTATCCCTCCCCTAGTCCCCCAGCTTCTGACAGGCCCCAGTGTGTGATGTTCCCCTCCCTGTGTCCATGTGTTCTCATTGTTCAGCTCCCACTTATGAGTGAATATGTGGTGTTTGGTTTTCTGTTCCTGTGTTAGTGTGCTGAGAATGATGGTGTCCAGCTTCATCCATGTCCCTGCAGAGGACATGAACTCATCCTTTTGTATGGCTGCACAGTATTCCCTGGTGTATATGTGCCACGTTTTCTTGATCCAGTCTGTCAGTGATGGGCACAGCCACTTGGGCCTGTTTTCTAGGGACACGTCTCTCTGCAGATGGTTACAGCCTCCTTCGGTTTGCGCAGATCGCCCTCAGACGAAATGTCAGCATGTCTCTCAATGAAGCTCTTTAATCCACAGTCGTTTTGTTTTCAGCTCAGTTGTTTCTGGTCGGTGCAAAGCTGACTGCAGTTTTTCTTCTCTTTTCAATGTTTGTAACTTTTCTTCTCTGTGCTTGACCTCTAAATTAGGATTTGTGTTGAAGTAAAGAATTGTAATAACCTGCAGAGTCACCCTTAAATCTGGATACCCCCTCTTTCTCTTTCTCTCTCAGAATGGAGTACTCCAGAGCAATGTTCTCCACTTCTCCCACGGCATTATCGCACCCCTAAGTCTCTCTTCTAACTAGGATATTCTTCTCTGGGTTCTCAGGTCCCTGGAGGTCTCAGGGACATTGATGCCATGTTCAGGGTCTAAAAGGTAAGGTTTTTGTGCTTTGTACTTCTTCAGTTTGGCCCAGATGTCCTTGTATTCGTGAGATATTTTTCACAGTGATTCCTACAGTATTTTAAGATCAGTTCTCTCACCTGTTTTTACTCTTTTTGTCTACATAGGGGATATCAGAGACAGGATATAAATAGTAATATTTTATTCTTTCAGGAAGCTATAAATGTATTTAGATTATTACAATTTGTACAGACTCTAAGCAGAAATATAATCACATCATTTATGATATTTATCTTCATAAATAGATATTTGAATTGGCTTCCAAAATGACCTTAGAGATGTACTTACTTAATGATGGTGGCCTTGATCTTTTTGTGATTAGATAATAGCCCAGCATGTGGCCACAGTAGCAGAAACACACAGTATGTGCTGGTTAATTGGCTCTACTCGCTTCATGCATTATTACAGCTTATCTGCTGCTTGTGGACTGGTACATGTTGAGCTTCTCAATAATCAAAGAAGAAATCAGGTGCCAGGTCACAATCCAGACCCAAGAAGTGTCTGCTTTTCTGTTTTCCACATGAAGTCATCATTTAGCATTCTTTTCTTCTTTTTCAATGGTGGAGAAGCCTCTGGTATGTAAAACATGAGTAAAGTTCAAATAGGGTCAAATTCCGGAAGGCAGCACAGAACTTTTCCTCCTAGCCGTGTTACTTTGGCCGTACATCCTTCTATCATCCCATGCAGCTGGGAATGGGGGCTGCCATTTTCATTTTGATCAACCATTCCTCAAAAGGGCATTTAGAGAGTCATTAGGGTCTAGAGTCATGAAATGAGTAGAATAACAGAAGGTAGCATGTCAGAAGACCATGGGCAGCCCCCAGGCTGTATTTGCAGTCCCCGTTCTGCATAATGTGTCCAGTTGGTATGTAATGATGCACGCACAGAAGAGAACCAAACACTCAAATGTTTTGGCTATAATCAAAATTATACCTTGAGTTTCAATGTACTTATGTCTTTGAAAATGGTATTTTAAGGACCAGAAATGTACACAGTGTTCTGTGTTTTCAATACACAAAAATAAACCTTATGCACGTAAGTGTAGGCCTCACTGCTGGGCTGTATTCCTTCCTACCACGGACCCTGTAAATACTGTAGAACTATCCAAACAACATCTAAACTTCAGATGTAAAATTCCTAACTCCTAATATTACAAACATTCAACTATTTTGATGGAAAAAATAGGAAGCATGACAATCATTTATAAGAGAAAGAAAATATATTTCTCAATGAACACAGATTCCTTGACATGGACACTTTCCTGCAGCTTCCGAAGACACCAGCAGTGGAAGGTTATACTATTCATCGATGGCCAGGGCTGGTTGCAGGAGATATTATGATGCTTTGAAGGTTGTCCTGGTCATCTTTATAAAATATATGTCAACCACACCTGCTGAGGCTACAGAGCACTGACAGAGGGTAAGAGACTAGAGAAGGAAAAGCTTTGATAAGATAGCTGAAGATAATCAGAAAAGATGGTAACTAATCAAATAAACATCCTCTTGCGTGCACAATGTCAGGAATGCAGCTCTGGAAACAATGCCTTTGTCAGAGCACTGTTAGCCGTAGGGTGTGTGCCTTCCTCCTCTTGTGCTTAGTGTTTGGAGAATTTTTGTTCGTTTGTTTGAGACAGAGTCTCACTCTGTCGCCCAGGCTGGAGTGCAATGGCGCAATCTCGGCTCACTGCAACCTCCACCTCCCGGGTTCAAGCAATTCTCCGCCTCAGCCTCCTGAGGAGCTGGGACTACAGGTGCCCACCACCATGCCTGCCTAATTTTTTTGTATTGTTAGTAGAGTTGGGGTTTCGCCATCTTGGCCAGGCTGGTCTTGAATTCCTGACCTCGTGATCCACCCTCCTTGGGCTCCCAAAGTGGTGGGATAACAGGTGTCAGCCACTGTGCCCAGCCTGAGAATTTTAAAAAGAAGTAGAAAAGTGCTATTCTTGATTAAGCAGCTGTCATATCAGACACTGGAGAATGTGGCCCAAGCTCACATGGTTCATTTCTGCAACAGCTCTTGCAATCTATACATTGTTGTCACCACTCTATGGGGAATCAATGAGAATGGTGGCAGAAAAGTACTCTGCTGAATGGTGAGGCAGATATAAATCTGGCCTAAGTGAAACAAAAAACTCTCCATTTTTAACTACACTTTACTGGCTCCAGGACTGGACATTTTCAGGGGTAGTATAGGGAAGGACTAAGGATATCGAGGGTTCTTGGATGAAATAATACATAGATTGTTGGTCCTGGCTGAGTGCAGAAACAAGGGAAAACAGCAGGGCTTGAAAGCTTAGGAGAAAATGGAGGGAGGCAAGAGGTTGGAGGACTTAGTGGATTCATGGAGAACAAATAGAAATACGGAAGTTAGAAGGAGAGTGATAAGAGGCAAGGCAAAGTAGGTGATGAAATTACCCAAAGTATGACTCTGGGATTGGGTTGCTGAAGAAGAGATAATAAATTCTTTAAAGTAAGTAAGAGTGGTGAAGTGCTTATCCCATGTGACTTATTAGAGACAGAATCTGAAATATAATTTGGGTTTACATTATGAAATTTAGTGCATTATGCCATAAGAATGCTGTGTCTCCTAATCCATTATGTTCGTTAAGGTGGAGCTTTACATGTGTCTTGATATCTGAGTATAATCTTTTGCAATAAATTACAGAAGTTGTCTCATCACTAATTTGGGGTGTGCTGATTTTGTTTCTAAGTTTATAAAATGAAAGTCTTGATTTTTGTTGGTTAAATATTTTGAAAAATTGCAGTTCAAGAGCAAAGTTATGTTTTACTCATCAGTTTTTTGAATGAAAAATTATGTGAACGAGATAACTTTTGTATGAATTTTTAATTTTTAGTAAAGTTACTTAAGTTATGTTTATTCTCCAAAATATTATCAGTCACATTTATTTAGTGCTCAAGACTAAATAAGAATTTTAGACAGATTCTCGCTCTGTCGCCCAGGCTGGAGTGCAGTGGCGTGATCTCGGCTCACTGCAAGCTCTGCCTCCTGGGTTCACGCCATTCTCCTGCCTCAGCCTCCCAAGTAGCTGCAACTACAGGCGCCCACCACCATGCCCGGCTAATTTTTTCGTATTTTAGTAGAGACAGGGTTTCACCGTGTTAGCCAGGATGGTCTTGATATCCTGACCTCGTGATCTGCCTGCCTCGGCCTCCTAGAGTGCTGGGATTACAGGCGTGAGCCACGGTGCCTGGCCAATTTTTTTAAAATTATGAAACTAGGAAACATTGTTCTATTAAAAATATTTTTCTCTATCTATTCACAGTAACACTGAAGAATGCAGTTTACTTACATCTTTTTCTGTTTGACAGAAGACAGTTATTAGTAAGTATAATTATTAAAGTATACTTATTTTCCATGTTTAAAATATGAAAAATATGCAATATAGGTTGGTACTAAGAGGGGAAATCTGCTTCTGATCAAAATTTTATTTTAAATATCATTTTTATTTCTTTTGTCCTAAGTTATATACTTTTTCTTCTATTACTTATTGCAAAGTTACTTTAAAAGAAAACAAAATCAAAGAAAGCAATCAACCAAGATTTTAAAAATAATAATAGCAGAATCTCTCCTCAATTCTTTCCTCTTCTCCACTCCATCTTGCCTTCACAGCTTTTTTTGTTTCCAAAGGTAGTCAAAACATTTTAGATATTTATGCCAAAGGGCATGGATCTGTGATACCGTGGGTCCTGCCAAGCTGAAGGTTTTCCTTTGGCCAAGATAAGTTACTGTGGAAGGAAAGTAACTCTTCCAATCCACGGTTCTTAGAAAATTATACTTTTATACTTTTTAAATTTTAAATGAAATGCCCCACAGCTTTCAATGCATACCCAGTTCAGAGAATTTGAATATCATCCAACATGCTTCCACAGTGATCCCAGTCTGAGAGGACTGTGTTATTATGTAAATGCATAGCTTGCTTTCTAGGTAATAAATGATAAAACTCTTCATACAGGAGAATTTGGTCTTCGGTGTATTTCTATATGTATTGAAGGTTTGCTGTGAAATCACTCTGGAATCTCTCAGCTGGTCTGCTCCACAGTATCCTACTGGTCTTGGGCTTTGTATATTAACTTTCCAGAACTCATGCTCACTACAGACTTGCTTTAGGGCCTCTAAATATTTGTTGCTTTTGCATGCCAAGAGTTTTATCCTTATTTTTGGAGACAGGAGAGGATGTGAGTGTTGAATTGTATTTCAGGTTACCCTTGGGACATCAAAATGACCAAGGCAGTGTCTGCTAAGTATTTGCTGAGACTCTGCTATGATTCTTTCAAGTCTAAAGACAGTTATCTGAATGATATCCCCGTGACAGTGGACTCCTGCACATTCACAGTCCTGGAAGGAGCCTGTCCACATTGGCATTCTGGAAGTCCATAAAAGACAAACGCATATGCAGTCCCCGAGAAAGCATTGTTGTAAACAAATCTGCACTAGATGGAAACTCTGTTATGTGGTGCCGGCATGCATGGAAGAGTAAGTCCAGAACTACACCTGGAAGTTCTTTTTACTAAAAGAACACACAGTTCTTTTTTACTTTATTATATTGTATTTTATTTTATTTTGTTTTATTATACTTTAAGTTCTAGGGTACATGTGCACACATGCAGGTTTGTTACATATGTATACGTGTGCCATGTTGGTGTGCTGCACCCATCAACTCATCATTTACATTACGTATATCTCCTAATGCTATCCCTCCCCCCTCCCCCCATCCCACAACAGGCCCCGGTGTGTGATGTTCCCCGCCCTGTGTCCAAGTGTTCTCATTGTTCAATTCCCACCAATGATTGAGAACATGCGGTATTTGGTTTTCTGTCCTTGTGATAGTTTGCTCAGAATGATGGCTTCCAGCTTCATCCATGTCCCTGCAAAGGACATGAACTCATCATTTTTTATGGCTGCATAGTATTCCATGGTGTATATGTGCCACATTTTCTTAATCCAGTCTATCATTGATGGACATCTGGGTTTGTTCCAAGTCTTTGCTATTGTGAATAGTGCTAGAATAAAATACATGTGCATGTGTCTTTATAGTAGCGTGATTTATAATCCTTTGGGTATATACCCAGTAATGGGATGGCTGGGTCAAATGGTATTTCTAGTTCTAGATCCTTGAGGAATTGCCACACTGTCTTCCACAATGGTTGAACTAATTTACACTCCCACTAACAGTGTTAAAGTGTTCCTATTTCTCCACATCCTCTCCAGCACCTGTTGTTTCCTGACTTTTTAATGATCGCCATTCTAACTGGTGTGAGATGGTATCTCATTGTGGTTTTGATTTGCATTTCTCTGATGGCCAGTGATGATGAGCATTTTTTCATGTGTCTGTTGGCTGCATAAATGTCTTCTTTTGAGAAGCGTCTGTTCATATCCTTTGCCCACTTTTTAATGGGGTTGTTTCATTTCTTCTTGTAAATTAGTTTAAGTTCTTTATAGATTCTGGATATTAGCCCTTTGTCAGATGGGTAGATTGCAAAAATTTTCTCCCATTCTGTAGGTTGCCTGTTCACTCTGATGGTAGTTTCTTTTGCTGTGCAGAAGCCCTTTAGATTAATTCGATCCCATTTGTCTATTTTGGCTTTTGTTGCCATTGCTTTTGGTGTTTTAGTCTTTGCCCATGCCTGTGTCCTCAATGGTATTGCCTAGGTTTTCTTCTAGGGATTTTTTTTTTTTTTTTTTTTTTTTGAGACGGAGTCTCGCTCTGTGGCTCAGGCTGGAGTGCAGTGGCGCGATCTCGACTCACTGCAAGCTCCGCCTCCCGGGTTCACGCCATTCTCCTGCCTCAGCCTCCCGAGTAGCTGGGACTACAGGCGCCCGCCATCACGCCCGGCTAATTTTTTTGTATTTTTTTAGTAGAGACGGGGTTTCACCGTGTTAGCCAGGATGGTCTCGATCTCCTGACCTCGTGATCCGCCCGCCTCGGCCTCCCAAAGTGCTGGGATTACAAGCGTGAGCCACTGCGCCCGGCCTCTTCTAGGGATTTTATAGTTTTAGGTCTTACATTTAAGTCTTTAATCCATCTTGAATTAATTTTTGTATAAGTGTAAGGAAGGGATCCAGTTTCAGCTTTCTACATATGGTTACCCAGTTTTCCCAGCACCATTTATTAAACAGGGAATCCTTTCCCCATTCCTTGTTTTTGTCAGGTTTGTCAAAGATCAGATGCTTGTAGATGTATGGTGTTATTTCTGAGGCCTCTGTTCTGTTCCATTGGTCTATATATTTGTTTTCGTACCAGTACCATGTTGTTTTCGTTACTGTAGCCTTGTAGTATACTTTGAAGTTAGGTAGCATGATAGCATCACAATTCTATACACATTTCAGGAATGATTTTTTTAAAGAGACAACCTCAATTCTTAATGATTTTTAAATTTTTGTAAAATAATCAAATGCAACCAATGGACTGATTGAATAAATCTACTTTTCCCTTTTTGTTGATGGGCCCTAAATTTCCAAGTCTTCTGTGTATAAGGTGGGCTTAATTTTACAAATAGTCATTTTGAAGTTAAAATAACTTGTTTTCTGTATACCCAATTTTAAAATTCAGAATGCCATATCAGCCACTTTATGGATAATTTCTCACATACTTCTTTCTCTGAATATGAGAATTTTAAAAATTTATGCAAAAATGTTTCAACTTACAATGGCATATTTTAATATAACATCTTCAATTTCAACTTTTTCCTTTTGGATATACTTTTATAGAAAGGAATTCAGTATTTATTAAACCACTATTTTCTTCATCTATTGGCAGTGTGTTTAAGGAATTCAGTTTATACCTTGTGGGAATCTTTTTCAGATAAACTGTATATCAAGTAGTTTTGTGGTGTTTGAAGGAACTTTTTGGCATTCAGGGCCATTTCTTGTGCTGTACAAAGCAGCCCTTAGTGCTTTCTGGAGAGCAGACTACTTAAAATTCATATGAACACATTCGATGTGATGTGTATGTTTAGAATCACTATTGAAATATTTCTCTATTTAATTGGGGTGGTTCATGCTAATTCACATGGCGGACATTGGCAGCTATTTTCAGTCTACCAATTTTTTCTTCGGGGGACATAGTAAAATCTCTGCTTCCATAAATGTTTCCACTTTCTGAATGCAGCAGTTTTCCCTTCTTCTTCTAGCTCTTTCTTAGTGGGCAGAGAGAACAGGAAATGCTAGTTGTTGCAATGCAAGCCTGGCAGGCAAGCACACCTCTCTTCCCCAGGAACTGAGTAAGCCACGATGCTCAACTCCAGTGACTGTTGAATTTCAACAGCTGCACCCTCTCTTTTTACCCCTGGTGTCACATAGAGCATATGCTCTTGGACATTCAGGAAATCAAGTATTGCTTCCATTCTGGCCATGGTGCTAGAAATGCAGGGTTGTATCTCTTTACCTCAACCATTTCTGTCTCCTCCCTCAGCTCCTAGGAAGCTGCTGACTCACCCTTTTCTTGACAAGTCCTTCTGGGTAGTCTTCCTGGGTAGCATCTGAGATGAACCCCAAACTGGCACACTTTCTATCTCTTTCTGTCTGCCACATCTGGAATCACAATAAAGAGGACACTACTGGTAAGGACTTCAAATGCATGTCAAATGGTCAGAGCCATGGGCTCTAGGAACAGGTGCCAGCAAGTCACAACAAAGGGTTAAATGAGACCAATCTGCCCACTCCACAGTGGGCACCTCTGGACTCTGGGTGGATCTGAGGACTCTTCTTTGGTCTGAATGTGTTGGAAACTTATTTGCCAGTGAAACAGTTTTGAGACATGAAACCTTTAAGAGGGCAGAGCCCTCATAAGTGGACTAACACCATTATCGTGGAAGTGGGTTCATTATTAAGAGAGTAGGCTTGTTATAAAAGCAAGTTCAGCCCCCTCTTGCTCTTGCTCTTGACCTCTTTTGCCGTTCCACTTTCTGTCATGACATAATGCAGCATGAAGGCCCTTGTCAGATGTCGGCATCATGCTCTTGGACTTCCAGCCTCCAGAACCATGAACCACATAAACTTCTGTTCATCATAAATTACCCAGTCTGTGGTACTCTGTTACAGCAGCATAAAACAGACTAACACAGACCCATCATCTCCTGACACAGATATAAAGTGAATCCCTAGCAGGCATCTTTGTCCCTCAGAAAAGTCCTGGAGGCCAAGTAGTGGAACAGCAGCATACCAATATCTTTCCCACAGAAAACCTTTCTAATTTCGTGTCCAATATTTCTAAAAGAATGGAGGCAAGTGGTCTTCCGAGGGTCCCCAAATTATTCCCAGCCGCCTCCTTGGCAAGGTCTGCTTTGATGGATTCACAGATTGTTCTGCAATATGAGTAGCATTGACAGTTACTATCTTTGGGCCTCAGTCAAAACAGAGACAGAGAATACCCATTTAACAGGCACTCCAACTTAGGTATCCACAGAACGTATAGTTTTGTTATTCTCTATCATGGGCCTGCTCTTGCCAATGTTTCAGCAGATAGCTGCGTAGTTTAGAATTTCTAGTTAATAATATTTCAGTTTCAACTGTCTCCCTTCAGTTTAATATGGGGTGTATTTAAAATAAATACAACTCCCTATTAGATATTAAAGGATTGTTTTGGAACAACTGAGTCCTTTCAGATAAATCTTCAATACTCTACTTTTCTCTCACTTCTCTCACTCTTTTTTGTTTGTTTTTTTTTTGTTTGTTTGTTTGTTTAAGACAGAGTCTCACTCTGTCACCCAGGCTGGAGTGCAATGGTGTGACCTTGGCTCACTGCAACCTCCGCTTCTTGGGTTTAAGTGATTCTCATGCCTCAATCTCTGGAGTAGCTGGGATTACAGGCATGTGTCACCACACCTGGCTAATTTTTTTTGGTAGTTTTTGTAGAGACACAGCCCACCTTGGCCTCCCAAAGTGCTGAAATTACAGGTGTAAGCCACTGCGCCCAGACTCACTCTCCTTTACTTCTCCAGGTTGGTGGCTGTGTCTATGAGGAGTACCCTTTCTATGTCTGCAGGAGGAGAGTGGGTCCTTGCATCCACACAGCAGCCTGGAGTGTCACTCTGGACACTCTCTTGCCTCAGCCTCCTGAGAAGCTGGGACTACAGGCATGTGCCACCACACCCAGCTAATTTTTGTATTTTTAGTAGAGACGGGGTTTCACTATGTTGGCCAGGATGGTCTTGATCTCTTGACCTCGTGATCTGCCTGCCTTGGCCTCCCAAAGTGCTGGGATTACAGGCGTGAGCCACTGTGCCTGGCTGATAGTTTCTTATACTGTGAAGAAGCTCTTTAGTTCAATTAGATCCCATTTGTTAATTTGTGCTTTGTTGCAATTGCTTTTTGTGTTTTTGTTATGAAATCTTTGCCACTTCCTATGTCCAGAATGGTATTTCCTAGGTTATTTTCCAGGGTTTTTATAGTTTTGGGTTTTATATTTAAGGCGTTAATCCATTTTGAGTTGATTTTTGTGTATGCTGTAAAGAAGGAATCCAGTTTCAGTCTTCTACATGTGGCTAGCCAGTTATCCTAGCACCATTTATTGAAATAAGAAGTCTTTTCTCCATTGCTTGTTTCTGTCATATTTGTCAAAGGTCAGATGATTTAGATGTCTGGTCTTATTTCTGGATTATCTATTTGGTTCTGTTGGTCTATGTGTCTGTTTTTGTACCAGTATCATGCTGTTTTAGTTACTGTAGCCTTGTAGTATAGTTTGAAGTCCAGTAATGTGATGCCTCCAGCTTTGTTATTTTTGCTTAGGATTGCCTTGGCTATTTGGGCTCTTTTTAAATTGTGTAGTTAAGTAATGTTAAGCATATTCACCTGAATAATCTTGCCAAAGTAAAACTTATAATCATTGAACAACAATTCCCACTTTTCAACTCTCCCCAACCCTGGTAACCACTATTCTATCTTGTGTTTCAATAAATTTTGCTACTTTAAATACCTTGTAAAAGTGGAATCATACAGTATTTGCCTTTTTGTAAGTGACTTATTTCATTTAGCCCAGAGTCTTCGAGGTTCATTTATGTTATAGCATGTGAAATAATTTCCTTTGTTTTTAAGGTAGAATAATATCACACTGTGTGCCTATACCACATTTTGTTTATCCACTCATCTGCTGATGAACGTTTAGGTTGCTTCCACCTTTTGGCTGTTGTGAATAGTACAGCTATGAACGTAGGTGTGAAAGACCTCAAGATGCTGTTTTTAATTCTTTTGGGTATATACTCAGAAGTGAGATTGCTAGATCATATATTCAATTTTTTGAAAAACCACTATAGCTTTTGAGCCAATGTTTCAACAGATAGCTGAATAAGTTAGAATTTACAGTGAACAATATTACAGTTTCTTCCAGGTTCAACTGTCTCCCTTCAGTTTAAATATGGAATCTATTTAAAATACACCCCCCATTCGATTTTAAATGATTACTTTGGAATAACTGAGTCTTTTTAGGTAAATCCTTAATACTTCACTTTCCATAGCTGTTGCACCATTTTACAGTCCCCACAGTGCACAAGAGTCCCGATTTCTCGACATTCTTGTCAATAGTTGTGATTTTACTTATTTATTTTGGTAGTATTCATCTGAATGGGAGTAAGGTGATATATCATTGCATTGCAATTGGTTTTGATTTGCATTTCTCTGATAATTAGTCACTAATTATTATTGAGCATCTTATACTTCCGTGATGACGTGGGAATTTTTCTTCATTGTACAACAGATATCATTATAGTGGCGTAGTTCTACACTCTACACAATTTTTTCTAACACTACACAAAAGCAAACACTAAATCTAACTTCCAATTGTCAGGATTACTGGTCTACTCCTCTACCCACCCATAGGCTGATTATAAATCTTTGAAATTAATTACATCTAAAATTTTTCTTTCCTGTCAAGTCACTGTTGACGAGGTTCCTCTGCTCACATTGGCAGTCTCTTTCTTTCTCATGATTCTTCAAGTCGTCATTTTGTTAGAGGCCAAGCTTTCACTCATGGACTGAAGTTATATTGTGTGCTTTTTGCCTGAGTGTTTAATCCCTTAATTTACAAGCGGATGTAGGAGTGCATACCCAGGAGGTGAGGGCAAAGACTCCCGTTGAGTCTTTGGAATCTCAAATCTGTTACCGTTTTGGCTTGGGACAACAAACATCCTGTCAGTCTCAATTGCTGTATAATTGAAAAGAGAATGATAACAGTTGTCCTACATACATCATAACTCTCTTTGAATCAATGATAATTAATCCATGTGAAAAGCTTTCAAAAACTTGTAAAAATCCCTCATAATTATATGGTGTTTTACAATTTACAAAGAACTTTCACATGCAGATTTCTCACGTGATTTTTATGTTTTGAGGGCAGAGTGAGAAATTATAAAGTATCTGTGTATATGCCAATAATGATGCCTAATATCCCCCACTTTACATATTTAAAAGACCTTTAAAATTATGGCTTTTCCTAGTTTTCACAGCACATTAAAAAAGCCAATACCACTACACAGGTGTGTAGTTTCTGGTCTTGTGCACTGACCATTTCCTACACCATCTTTTTGTATGCTCTCTAGCTTCCGTAGTTGTTACTCGAGTAGAAGAGTACTGAAAGGCCACGTAGAATATACAGCTTGGTTTCATCCCACTGATAAAAATCTACTTTTAACATACATGTTAAAATAATCAAGCCTGACTAAATTATTTTTGTATTTTTTCCATTTTACCTGTTATCAACTTTTTAATTAAGCAATGGGGCCATGGTAGGCAGGGTATTCCCTAGAACTTGTGAATATGTTACCCTACATGACAGAAGGACTTTCAGATGTAATTAAACTTAATGACGTTGAGTTAGAGAGAGGGTCCTGCCCAGTGGAATCACAAGGGTCCTTAAAGGTATAAGAAGGAGTCAGAGGACAGAGTCAGAAGGAGACGTGCTGATGTGAGAATGGTCAGAGAGATACAACCTTCCTGTCTTTGAAGATGGAGGAAAGGGGCCTTGAGCCAAGGATTGTTGTTGGCCTTTAGAAACTGGAAAATGCAAGAAAATCAAGTCTCCCTAAAGCCCCTAGAAGGGAACACAGTCCAACTAATTCATTTATTTTAGCCCAGGAGATCCCTGTTGGGCTTCCGACTTACAGTACTGGAAGATAATACATTCCTGGTGGTTTGTGTCACAAGGTCTGTAGTACTTTGTTCCAGTATCAGTAGAAAACCGGTAGAAGGGGAATTCACGTAAATATCATTACACACAGAAATAATTACTTATTATTCTTTTGTTCTCAAATCCTACCTGGTAAACAAAATGAATTTTTGTTTTTCGGGGCTTTTGTACTAATTCTTATGAATCCACTGATATTTTGTTTTTTCTGTCGTCTCCCTCAGGAACCCGAAAGGAAGAAGCTATACGACTGGGGACACATGTCTTAGAAGCACACTCATTAGATAAAGTGTCGCATACTCTTTGATAAGGTAAGGCTCCCTGGACGAGATGTTTTACAGGTACCATGAGCTCAGTGAATTGCTTTTGGAAAGACACTCAGCGGAGTGGGCACCACGAGGTTAGGAGAAGCAGCTTCTGCTCGTCATAACTTTGGCAAATGTTTACACATCAGTAATGAAAAATATTCTCTTGGCGATTTCAGGCTTGTTACTATGGATGTTGTTTGCTAACATTGACTATTTTTCCTAACTGCTTATAGAAACTCCAGGCTGTCACCCATCTGTTCTCTCATCAAAGTAGTTTTGGGCCAGCAACTATTTCAGACATTTCTACAGTTTCAGATGTCTCACTCTGCCTATGACTGTATGTTGTACTTGAGGACTGGACGCACAGAGTAAAGTGCAAATAGCAAGCATTCAGGTCCAACTCTCCTCCTTCTGGTTAACAATATGAAAGAAAGAGGTAGTATCGGAATTATTTTAGTTCAATGTAGCCATTATAAAATGTGTATATATTTTAAAACATGTGGTACATGATAAATATATACAACTTTTATTTTTCAATAAAAAATTATAAAAAAAGTCATCAAACCTGATTTCTCATACTACTTTTTTGGTAACACTCATCACACCAAAGACTTATTATTTTAAAATGTTATTTTTCATAATTAATTTCTTATTAATTTTATAGGCTAGATTTTAATTGTTATGTCTAAATAGTAGTGTCTGGTACGTGGTAGATAATCAATGTGACTTGAATAAATGAATAAGTCTGTTAACGACATACTTCTCATCACTGTAACTTATTTTTGGTTTAGGACTGATAAAACATTTTTTCTCTCACCCCATATTGCTAAAGATCAAATCCTTCTTCTTTAAGATGCTACCATACCATTGTTCCATTCATCAACGCCAAATCATTCCTCGGGCCTGAGAGGAGCTGCCATCCTTCACTTCGTCTTTGGGTCACTTCCAACCTCTGTTCTCTGTGTGTCTCTTCTGGACTTCCTGGGAGAATAGCCTCTCTCATGATACTCACTTTCTTCCACATCTTCAATCTCTGCTTCATTGATAGATTATGCTACTCAATATAGAAACAACATCTTTTTTATTTTTTAATGATAAACATTCTCCCCCTCAATCTTTTAACCTACTAATGCAGGCAATCTAATCTAAAGAATAGCCTGCAATGCCTCCTTTCATCATTTCCCATTTAATCCAGCTTTCTGGCTGAGTAATTTTGCAGAAAGCCCTTTCTCCCATGTCACAGATGGAACTTTGCAGTGGCCTATTCTGATAAACATGTGGCAGTTTACATGCTATTTGCATTTGAAGCTGTTTATCACTCCCTCCTTCTGAGTACTTTCTTCTTGGTGGGCTTTTATGATAGTAATTGCTATCCTACTGCTGAGTTTCTGACCACTGCTTGTCAGACACTTTATTATGCTCCCTTTCCTTTGCCCATACTTGCAAAGTTAGATTTCCACATATGCCTTTCCCGTCTTCTTATTCCATGAGATGTACCTAAGTGATTTCATCCATTGCTATGGGTTCAACTACTGCTAATATGTTCTTTACTCCCAACTCTCTTTCTACAGCTTCACATATTTAACTGCCTTTTAGGGAATCACCAAAAGGCAATTCCATCTTAACATACACAAAACTGAACTTATGATCCTTAAGTATGAGGCCAGTTCTTTCTTATGCATTTTCTAAATCAGTGAGTGATACTATCTCTTGTCCTGTTGTCCTGGGCAGAATTGCAGGAGGTGACTGCTTTCTCTACCCTCCCTATAAAAATTACCATCTCTCGTTTACCAACCTCCCAATACCCCAATCATTAGTATCTTTTTAAGAAATGATTTTCTGTTGTTTAACATTTTTTATATGCTATTACCTATATGGTTTTCCTCCTGAAATGGGATATTGGGTAAGAGGGTACCAGATGGAGGTCACATAGACCTACAGTTTATTCAAAGGGGACATCTATGGAGCAAAGGCAAAATGGAGAACCCAGTGCAGCCAAACAGCTACTCAAAGGTCTGAGCGGAGATACAGAAATGACACAGGAGATAACAGAAAGAGAGAGACATATCAAGTGGGTTTTGAGTGTAGGCAAAACCACATTTACCCGTAGCTCTGGAGAACCCACTGGCACTGTTTTGAGACTGTTGCAGCCTGCAAGGGAGGGCGGACACTGAGTTCAGACACGCACACCCTCCGACCAGCTCCCAAATGTCTGCTGATGTTTACAACTTTGCTTCCTGCTTTCCTACCTGGTCTTAGCCTTTTGATACACACCCTCCCACTGCTATCAGAGTAAGATTTGAGCTAAGTACATAATCTGGCCCTGCCAGATTATGACATTAGTTGGAGAATAGATAGGTCAATGGGACCTGAGATACATTTTAGAAAAATATTAATATGTATGCCTTATGTATAGTGTGCAGCTGGCATTTTAAACACGTGGAAAATGATGAAAAATTTAATAAACCATGAGAAGAAATTGGATAAATATTTCTGATACACACACACATCAGATTCCCTTTTTTATGTCACATGCAAAACTAAAATAATATTTGAATGGCTTAATCAGTGAAATATTTTTCTAAATTAACTAACATACTGGAAAATATTTGACTTATCTCAAACCAAATATGTATTTTTATTGTATAGGGTTTTTTCTTTTTTAAAAAATTTCAGCTTGCAATTTAGATATAGGAGGTACATGGGCAGATTTGTTACAATGGACTATTGCATGATGCTGTGGTTTGAAGTACGTTACCCATCACCCTGGTAGTGAGCATAGTTCCTGATAGGTAGTCTTTTTTAACCTAACCTCCCTCCCTCCCTCCCTCCACTGTCTAGTAGTCCACAGTGTCTATTGTGTCTCATATTTATGTCCATACGTGCTCAATGCTTAGCTTCCATTTATAAGTGAGAATATGTGGTATTTGGTTTTCTGTTTCTGCATTCATTTGCTTAGATCGCCCCAGCTCCATCTATGTTGCTGCAAAGAACGTGATTTTATTCTTTTTTATGGCGTATAGTATTTCATGGTGTTTATGTACCACATTTTCTTTGTCCAATTTCCTACTGATGGTCGCCTGTGTGGATTCCATGTCTTTGCTATTGTGAATAGTGATGCAGTGGACATCTGAGTGTAAATGTGTTTTTGGCAGAATGATTTATTTTCTTTTGAGTGTATACCCAGTAATGGGATTGCTGAGTCAAATGGTAGCTTTGTTTTAAGTTTTGAGAAATCTCCAGACTGCTTCCTCAGTGGATTGGTCTAATTTACATTCCCACTAACAGCGTATAAGCTTTCCCTTTTCTCTGCAATGTTGCCAGCATCTGTTTTTTTGACTTTTTATAATAGCCATTCTGACTGGTATGAGATGGTATCTCATTGTGGTTTTGATTTGGATTTCTCTGATGATTAGCGATGCTGAGCATTTTTTCACACATTTGATGTATGTCTTCTTTGAGAAATGTCTGTTCATGTCTTTGCCCATCTTTTAATGGGGTTAATTGGGTTTTGTTTGTTCAACTGTTTAAGTTCCCTATAGATTCTGGATATTAGGCCTTTGTCAGGTGCATACTTTGCGAATATCTCCTCCCATTCCCTAGACTGCCTGTTTACTGTGCTGATTTTTACTCTCTGTTTATTTTGCTATGTAAAAGTTCTGGAGTTTAATTAGGTCCCACTTGTCCCGTTTTTGTTTTTGTTGCAAGTGCTTTTGGGGACTTAGCTAAAAATTATTTGCCAAGGCTGATGTCCAGAAGAATGTATCCTAGGTTGCCTTCCAGAATTTTTATAGTTTGAGGTCTTACATTTAAATCTTTAATGTATTTTCAGTTAATTTTTGTATGAGGTGAAACGGAGGGGTCCAGTTTCATTCTGCTACATATGGCTAGCCAGTTATCCCAGCTGTGTTTATTGAATAGGGAGTTCTTTCCCATTGCTTGTTTTTGTTGGCCTTGTCAAAGATCAGATGGTTGTTGGTATGTAGCTTTATTTGTTTGTTTTCTATTCTTTTGCATTGGTCTATGTGTCTGTTTCTGTAACAGCACCATGCTGTTTTGGTTACTGTGGCTTTATAGTATAGTATGAGGTTGGAAAGAGTGATGCCTCTGGCATTGTTCTTTTTGCTTAGGCTTTCTTTGGCTGTTCAGGCTCTTTTTGGTTCAATACAAATTTTAGAGTAGTTTTCTAATTTTAGTAAATTTTCTAAAGTAAATGTTCTAATCCTGTGAAGAATGACGTTGGTAATTTGATAGGTATAGCATTGAATCTGTAAAGTGCTTTGAGCAATACGGCCATTTTTACAATAGTGGTTTTGGTACTGAAACACCAGGTGCTCAGTCTAGGTCCTGCTGCTTGCTGCACAGAAAGCCAATGACTGAGACAGCAAGTATTGCCAAGGAAGAAGCTTTAATCCGATGCTGCAGCAGAGGAGGTGGGAACTCAGTCTCAAATCCATCTCTCTGACCTACTAAAACCAGGGATTTATATAACAAGGAAGGAATGTAACATTGTGTAAGAAAACAGGAACTAGGGAGGTGTCAGGAAGCAATCGCGATGAATGAGGGGTCCAACATTTCATTGTCTGGATGTGATGATCTACTGAGTTTCAGTTCTTTGACACTTTTTGTGAGAGGCCTGAAGGTCATTTCCTCAGGAAGGAACTCAGATAAAACAAATATAAGTTTCAAGCTTTAAGACCAGAAGGGTCAATTTCTATGTTTATTAAAAAGAAAAAAACTGTTAGACTGGGCGTGGTGGCTCATGCCTGTAATCCCAGCACTTTGGGAGGCTGAGGCGGGCAGATCACGAGGTCAAGAGATTGAGACCATCCTGGCCAACATGGTGAAGCATCATGTCTACTAAAAATACAAAAATTAGCCAGGCATGGTGGCACACGCCTGTAATCCCAGCTACTTGGGAGGCTGAGGCAGGAGAATTGCTTGAACCTGGGAGGCGGAGAGTGCAGTGAACTGAGATTGCACCACTGCACTCCAGCCTGGTGACAGAGCGATACTCCATCTCAAAACCAAAAACCAAAAACCAAAAAAACAAAAAAACAAACAAACACCAGAATAAAACTGTCTATGGGACAATTGGGTCAGCTTTAGTTTTTCCAATCCTTGAGCATGGGATATTTTTCCATTTATTTGTGTCGTCTCATCTCTTATTTCTTTCAGCAGTGTTTTGTGCTTCTCGTAGAGATCGTTCATCTCCTTGGTTAGCTGTATGCCTATAGGTATTTTATTTTCTTTGTGGCTTTTGTAAGTGGGACTGTGTTCTTGATTTCACCCTCAGCCTGGATGCTGTTGGTGAAATATGTATTTTTAAAAAAGAAAAGCAAAAAAAAAAATAGATAGACTTGACTAAACAAACATTATTATAAACAAGAATGAGTGTCAATATTCTTTTCCATAAGGTACTCTTACAAATCAGTGTAAAGAATTATAATTTCTCTATTTAAAAAAGGAGATAGCATTGCCAATTCACAAATTGTATATAAGTGGCCTATGAATGCAAAAACCTCAATTGCATAAGTAATAAAAAAGTCTAAATAAAGTGATATTTCAAATTGTATAAAAGTGGCCTATAAATGCAAAAACCTTAATTGCATAAGTAATAAAAAAGTCTAAATAAAGTGATATTATTTTCTACTGATACAATTGATGGGGAGAAAAACCAAAATAAAGTGAACAGAAGAAAATGGGGAAAAAGGGAGCCTTTTAGACTGCTAGTGGGAGGGTAACTTTGTATAAACTATTAGAATACAATTTGTCAATCCGTGTTACAATCAAATTGTTCATTCACTTTGTAACAACAGTTCTATTTCTAGGAAATAATTATAGATGGCAACTATTTCTATATAAAGCTTTTCATTACAATGTTAAATATGATAAAATTGGGGATACTCAAGTGGTCACTAATAGGAGCATGACTAAATAAACTTTGGTAGTGACAGTAAATAGAATACCATGCATCTATTAGAAATGCCTTTTAGAAAATAAAGTCAATGGCATGGGGATACAGACATAATTTGTAAAGCAGTATAACTCAAATTTGTAGAAAGAAATTACAGGACAAAGACTGGTACTGATTCAAAATGGTGCCTGGCTACGACGGGCCTTTGTCCCCAGAATTAAGCCTGGAGAATTGTCCTCGAAGTAAAGCAGGTGCTCTACGTGTAGAAAGCTCCTGGTGCGGATGCTGGACTCTGAGAGAAGGCTGAGCACAGCCTTGGGTAATGCAGAACTTCCTCAAAAGGCAAGGAGGCAAAAATAAAACAAGTGAAGAGCAACTCTCTTAGAAGAGGAAATGCACTCAAGCCCTTGGGCCACAGAGAAAAGTGCTCCTGAAACTGGAAACTCTATGGACTCCCAGCCTCCAGCCTGCCTGCTCTTCAGTCAGTCACCCTACAGGTGACACCCCCTGCATTCCCCACTCTCATTTTCAGAGAGCTGCTGCCGGGACCCTCATTCTGGGAATGGACTATGAGGAAGGAGACCTACATAGTTGTCAAGGAAACCTATGCCAGTTACATATGCCATACATTTTAATCGCTTAGTTATCAATGTGACAGGTAGGGAGAAAACACCAAATGCTTGAGGAAAACCAGGGGTATGAAAGAGAAGCATTAAGATTACTTTTTAATGGAAATGTATATATTCACCTAGGCTATTCTTCCTTACCCAAGTTGAAACTGAATAGTATGACCTAAACGTACATTTCGTGTGCTGGGAAGAAAAAGCAACTGATAACCCCCTTTCCCGTAGGTTTCCTGTCATTAATTTGCTCACCAGTGCAACCCCATTCAGGCCCCCAAGCTAGTGCCATCTTGTGTGCACAAGGCTGGGGCAATTGGATTCATAAGAAGTTTTGTCCATGAGGAATTTTCAGTCTAATGCCAAGTAATTGACAATGAAAATGTTTCCTGGTTTCCATCCAAATATTTATTAATACAGCAAAAATGTAGGATTTGTAGGATTTATGTATCTTCCAACTATCTCCACTACTGCAGGACACAGACACCATCTATAAATCTCACATTGTAACCACTAACACTTATCTTTGTTATTGTCACCTGGAATCTTTTATGCCAAAATAAGAGTCTTAAAAGAATGAAGCCCTGCAATTTCACTGTCCAACAACAGAGGTTTTACCTGATAAATCGTCTTCTCGTCTGACAGAGTGGGCCACAGAAACATCTCTGACAGCTGTTGCATGATGGAGTGGGAGCAAGGTCACTTCCTGCAAATGTTAGGGTTCTTCAGAATCCTTCAGGCGTTGGAGGAATAATTGAACTCAACAGGCAATCAGTCACGTCTGAAACATGTGAAATATACCTAAGGACCCGAGGTCAGGGTTGAGTGTCCAAATTCAACCAGTTATTCGCACGGTCTGAAAATGAAAATGTTTCATTTCAGAGAAGTTTATATGGAGTCCTTGACAGAATGTTGAATATGAAATAGATTTTTTTTCTGTCTTCCTTTGAAAATCTTTGTGGATAAAGCTTAACATGGTGCATTAGAATCTTAGGAGTAAAATATCCCTCACAAAATTTGATATCTTATCTGATTAGTTAATACAGACATATTACATTTTTCAACTAATTTTTTTTCTTAAGAAGAATTCTTTCAGAAACGGAGAAGCATGTAGTAACATACTGATTTTAAGGAACCTATGCTAATAATTTTAAGTAGTAAAACTTAAAACTAAACTTAAGAAGTAATAAAAAGGTGATAATAGGATAATTACTATTTGGCATCCTACTAAGATATTTAGTTGGCAATTTAATTTTAAATTACCTGGTTTTCTCTGATATTCACATATTATTAAATGCAATTTCATTTAAGCTGCTCTTCTAAGTGTTAGGGAAATATGAAAATTGAAAGTGTGACCTTGTTGTCCAGTAAAGTAATTTTATCGAATTTGGTAGACTCTTAATTGTCCCTAAGTATTCATTTTCCCTTTCTTTTTTTTTTTTTATTGTAGCTTTTCTTTTGAAATATGCGTTGCCTCCCAGACATTGCAAAATGGTATAGTGAGTTCTGGTGTATTCTTTTTTTTTTTTTTTTTTTTTTGGAGAGACGGACTTGTTCTGTCTCTCAGGCTGGAGGGCAGTGGTGTGATCATGGCTCACTGTTGCCTCGACCTCCCAGGAACAAGCGATCCTCTTGCCTCAACCTCCTGAGTAGCTAGAACTACAATCACCCCTCACCATGCCCAGCTAATTTTTAAATTTTTTGTAGAGATGAGGTCCGCTATGTTGCCCAGGCTGATTTAGAACTCCTGGCCTCAAGGGATCCTCCTGCTTTGGTTTCCCAAAGCGCTGGGATTCAGGCATGAGCCACTGTGCCCAGACGTAATTCTGGCGTATTCTTAAGCCAGTGTCCCCTAATGAAAATATCTTCCAGGACCTCAGTGCATGGTCCAAATGAGGAAGCTGTTAAGAGGTACAATACTATTAACACATGTACATACAGATTTCAACAGCATTTAAGTTCAGTTTTTTCTTTCTGTCTTTTGTGTTTATAGTTCTTTTTCTGTCTTCCTTTGAAAATCTTTCTGGATAAAGATGTTTCCACAGATTTCTGTAGATGTGTTCAGCCATCACCACCCAGTCCCAGTTAGAATGAGGGTACAGAACTGCTTCATCAGTCTCATGAGAAGGTGTGACTGAAAGGAGCAGTGCAAAGATGCTCCTTTGTCCTTTCAGTCACGCTTTCTCCCTGACTCTGACCTTTGGCACCAGCTGTTAGGTCTTCACACTCTAATTTTACACTTTAAGAATGGTATGTAAGGGCAGGGTACAGTGGCTCACACCTGTAATCCCAGCACTTTGGGAGGCCAAGGTGGGCGGATCATGAGGTCAGGAGATCGAGACCATCCTGGCTAACACGGTGAAACCCCGTCTCTACTAAAAAAAGTACAAAAAATTAGCCAGGCATGGTGGTGGGCGCCTGTAGTCCCAGCTACTTGGGAGGCTGAGGCAGGAGAATGGCTTGAACCCAGGAGGTGGAGCTTGCAGTGAGCTGAGATCGCACCACTGCACTCCAGCCTGGGTGACAGAGTGACACTCTGTCTCAAAAACAAAAAAAAAAAGAATGGTACGTAAGTAGAATAATGTAGGTAGCACCATTTTGAGATTGCTTTTTTTTCATTCAGCATAAAGCCCTACAAATCCACCTAAGCTGTTGCCTGCATTGATAGTTTGTTTCTTTGTTTTGTGTCACAGTTTGTCTATTTATTCACAGGTTGAAGGATGTTTGAGTGGTTTCAAGTTGTGGGCTGCTACACATGAAGCAGCAATGAACATCTGTGTTCACATTCCTGTGTGACTGTGTGTTTCACTTCTGTAGCATAAATACCCAGGAGGCCTGGATTGCATTGCAAATATGTTTTTAACTTTGTAGGAAACAGCCATACCACCTTCCACAATGGTTATGCTGTTTTCCATTTCCATCAGCAGTGCATGAGAAAGCCTGCTGCTCTGCGTGCTTGTCAGCACACAGTATTGTCAGTATTTTTATTTTAGCCACTTATTAGGTGTGCATTGATGTCTCATTGTAGCTTTAATTTACATTTCCCTAATGGCTAATGATGGTGAACATCTTTTTATGTGCTTATTTGCTATCTCTATACCTTCCTTGATGAAGTGTCAACAAATGTTTTGCCTGTTTTCTTGTTGTTGAGGTTGCAGCATTCTTTATATGGTCTGGATAAAAGTTCTTAGGTATGTGATTTGTAAATATTTCTTCCAGGCAATAGCTAACTTTTTATCCTCCTAACAAGCCCTACTTAGAACTGAAGTTTGAAAGTTTGATGAAGTCCATATTACCAATTTTTTTCTTTCTTAGACATGACAACTTTTTGTCTAACTCTTGCACAGGAAGATTTTTTTCCTGTGTTTTCTTCTAGAAATGTTGTAGTTTCACACTTTACATTTAGATCTATGATCTATTTTGAGTTAATTTTTATAGAAAGTGTGAAGTTTAGGTCTAGCTTTTTGTTTGTGTGTTTTCTTTTTTGGCCTACAGTGTTTAATTTTCCCAACATCTTTTGTTGCAAATTCTAATCTTCCTCTATGGGATTGCTTTGCATTTTCATTTTAAAAAATTAAGTTGACTGCACCTATGCAGGTCTATGTCCAGTTCCTTTATCCTGTGCCATTGATCCGTTCCTCTGCCCAAGCCACACTGTGAGGCTGTCTTCCCAAGCTCCTCCCTTTCCAGGATCTCCCTGGCCACAGCTTCTCCTTTCCTCGTTTTGATCATCTAGCCAGAAAGCTGGGCTTTTAGTTACTCAGCTCTGCTGTGCACATCCTGCAACTGCGGCTGCTCCAAGCAGGAGATACAGAGAAAAAGAAGCCAGTCTTTTCCTCACCACCTTAGAAAGAGAGGTCCCTGCCTTGAAGCTCACGCTCCCCGCACCTGCTGCCTTCACAGTCCTTACCCTGCAGAGCGCGGCTTGAGAGAGGAGAGGGGCGAGCTTGGGATGGTGGATGGCCCTCCCAGCTCTGAGCTTTGGGGGCCAGAGCTAAAAGAGAGGCTGCTGTCTCCAAGTTGCCTTCAATCCAAGCCGGAGAATTCTGCAGACAAATAGGGCGCTTTCCTCCACTTTGGTAGTACTTCAAAATCTTGTCTTCTTCCTCAATGCGTCAACTACCACCCAGTTTTCAGAGCCCTCCAACCTCTGTTCCCTGCATTTCTTCCTGGCACTGGATCCCTAAGTACTCAGTTTAATCCATACATTGCCCTTATCATTTCTTTTTTTCTTTTTCTTTTTCTTTTTTTTTTTTGAGACAGAGTTTCACTCTGTCTCCCAAGCTGGAGTGCAATGGTGCAGTCTTGGCTCACTGCAACCTCAGCCTCCCGAGTTCAAGAGGTTCTCCTGCCTCAGCCTCCCGAGTAACTGCGATTACAGGCACCTGCCACCATGCCCAGCTAACTTTTTTTTTTTTTTTGTAGTTTTAGTAGAGATGGGGTTTCGCCACGTTGGCCAGGCTGGTCTCGAACTCCTGACCTTAGGTGATCCATCTGCCTCGGCCTCCCAAAGTGCTGGGATTACAGGTGTGAGCCACCATGCCCAGCCCGCCCTTGCCATTTCTATCATCTGCCTTTCACACTGGATCTTTTTTCAGTTGTTCCAATAAACCAAGTGGTAAAAATTTGAAAAGTGAATGTGAGTAATAGGACCAAATTTAAAAAGTTATAGAATTTTAGGGTTGGAGAGGAACGTGAAAGAGTTATAATCACCCTTTCAAGCCACCAAGCTGAGATGAAATGCCTTGCCCTAAGTCACTCTTAGCCCTCTGATCTTCCTACGATGTCATGCGACTTTCACATAGAAACTAAAAGGACTTACCATTAATTTCTCCTCTTTCATTTACACATATGAATTTTTTTAAAAGTCTTTCTCATATCTTGACTGAGTTATACTCACAAAACCTACCCATTTTTCTGCTGAATTTATTCTTGAACTTGAATACAGTCTCATGTGGAAACAGTAATAATACCAAAATTGCAAATAATCTTTATATCTGACATTGCTCTTAGTTAATTCTGTTGCTAGTTTGGAAAGTTTTTTTTTTTTTAAAAGAATGTTTAAACATCATTACGTTTAAAACATTTTAAAGCCTGAGTACGAGTTTTAAATCAGAATCACTGACTTCCCTCCCTTACACCTCATTATTACAAACCTTGATTTGAAAGCCGTATTTCCTACAAAGAGTCAAACGAGAAAAAACATACTCCTGTGTGAAAAGAAATATACCAATGTACCAAATCCTTATAGTTTCTCTTCCCCAACCTGTGACCAATGTTCACCCTTTGGTGCCAGACTCATCTGTTTTACACACACACACACACACCCCGAAAACTTGATGTAAAATGTAAATAATTCATATTAGACATAATAATAAGGAAAGGAAAGCAAATAGCAAATGTGCCTTTGTTGTTAGGAGTGAAGATGCATGTTCAAAATTGTCTGTGCTGAGTAAGGATAAGGTCTTAATATCTGAGAAAAGGGGTCTGAATCCTGAGGAGGATATACAGAAAGTGGCCTTTTGAATTAGACTATTTGGGCAAATGTGCAGAATGATGGCGACTGACTGGGCAGAACTGGCGTATGGCACCAGGTTGTAGCAATGGAGATGAAATAAAAGGGCCTGATCCCTAAAAGAACTTTAAAGGAAGAAACAACAGGACCCAGTAACAAATGGAAAGTAAGTGATGAAGGAAGATAATCACAATAATATGTAGTGAATCTGAGTCTTTTGGCCAGGGAACTTGTGACAAATATAGAAGTACCAAAAAAAAAAATAGAGACATTCGAAAGATGGATATGGGATGGAAAAAATGAATTGTTCAGGATGTGCTGAGCTTGAAATATCAAGGTCATATTCAACAGAAAAAGAAATATTGTGAAGGGGCCCAGATGTGAGGGTAGGGCAAAAAATGATATTAGTAGAAAAGTCATTTGAGTAAAGAAAGTGGATATGTTAATAGGGAAAACAGAGTGCTTGGCCCAGGGCAGACCCTGTAAGATTCCCATGAGTAAGGATCAGCAGGTCAAAGATTTACCAGTAAGAAGACAGAGGCCAATGAGACAAAGCAAGAAAGCCCAGAGTCCAGAGAGCATGAGGGAGTCCTGTTTCAGAAGGGGAGGGTGACTAGCCGGAAGACTTGGAGAAAGTGGAAGATGAAGAAAATCCTTTGAGCGGGGGAGCACTGTCTGGCTTGGAAGATGGTCCTAGGAGATAGGTGGGGAAATGGCCAGATTTGGGGAGGAAGAATACTGGGGAATGTGAAAGGTCTGTGCCTAGAGAACAATGCGTCAGGACATGGTGATGGAATGAAGGGATTGGACAGCGCTGAACATTTTAGGAGACAGAAGGAAAAGAAGAGTGAAGTGAGACAGAAAGACATGGAGGATGTGAAAGAAAATGTGAGGATTTATATTCAAAATACCAAAAAGCTTTCTAATTCCTAGACTTGCCCCCGGCTAGAGTGGGCTATCTGGGTGAAGAGTTTATACAGATATCCCCATATACACTATTTATTCTACTTAGATAACACTCTAGAGACACTATGTCCTGTTTTCTTGAAAGACTCGTACCAATGGTGACATTTCAGATCTTCTAAGGAAGTTTATTTTAGCTTCAAAATAACACGGGTGGCACGGGGGAAGTATTTTTAGCCTCAAGGAGCGTTTTAGGCCAGGCACAGTGGCTCAGGCCTGTAATCCCAGCACTTTGTGAGGCTGAGGTGGGAGGATCATGAGGTCAGGAGTTCGAGACCAGCCTGGCCAACATAGTGAAACCCCATCTCTACTAAAGATACAAAAATTAGCTGGGCTTGGTCGTGTACACCTGTAATCCCAGCTACTCAGGAGACTGGGGCAGGAGAATCACTTGAACCCGGAAGGTGGAGGTTGCAGTGATCTGAGATTATGCCACTGCACTCCAGCCTGGTTGACAGAGCGAGACTCTGTCAAAAAAAAAAAAAAAAAAGAGAGGACTTTAGTACTTCTGAAACTCCTCTGTGTAGCTCTTCGTTCAAGCAATCCTAACTCAGAAGTACAAGAAGGATAATATTCTTGTGTGTGCTCTGAAGCTATTTAGTAGCATCAGAAAGGTGGAGAATAAGTAGCTTATAAAACATTGACAGCTCTTCAAATTGGACTAACAGGAAATCTCCAGGCATTTTATTCATAATTTTGGAAGAAATGCAATAACAAAGATTTAATGGGTCCCATATTGTGAAACATAATTGATCTAGAATAAGTACTATTCTTATTCCTATAGACAATCATACTCTGAGATTTTGGTCAAGTATCAGTTGATTGTTAATTATCTACGTGTTTGAAATATATGAAATTTAATAGAGAGGCCATAAGTCACATCCAAGAAGTACTAAGAGAAAGCACCACTGCAAAATCTTGGTAAATTCAGAAAATAATAACAAATCTCATAATGAAATAAATATTTTATTGGGATTATAAGACCTACCATCCAAAGAACCATTAGGAACTTTACAATAACTCATTAATTTATATGGGAAATATGACAGAAAGCAATTTCTGCTTTTACTTCTTTTCTTCTTTACTTCTTTCCCTTAGTGTGTTTTGCATGTGTGTTTGTGTTTCCTTGAATCGTTGCTTAATCCAAGAAGCTTTCAATTGACATCCCATGTCAGACGGGAATGCCACTGTATCACTTATTGATTTCAACAGTGGTAGTTTACTCCTGGAAACTAAAACCATTAGGTGTTTCTAAAATGTATGCACACACACACACACACACAAACAGAGTTTAAGGGTTAAGTATTTATCTTCCTCCCTGTATTTTTCAGAAGAAAGAAGAAAAGGAGGATATGCTTCTGTACTAGAGACTACTCTTTATTAGAAAAGCACAGGAACAATTCTCAACCTGAATATTTTCAATAAATGCCTTGGTGAAAATTACTGAAGTGGTGCTACAAAATTGCCTTGTCTTATTTTTGAGGACATGTGGAAAGCCTTTCTACAACTTTTAGATATATGTAATAAAGCTGAACATTCTTCACATCATCCAAACTTATTAGAGAGCTTAAAGTGTAATAGTCAAATCGCTAGCATTGGTTAGTTTGAATGAATAGTCCTTTTAAGACTTTTTTTTTTTTTTTGAGATGGAGTCTCGCTCTGTTGCCCAGGCTGGAGTGCAGTGGTGCGATCTTGGCTCACTGCAAGCTCCACCTCCCGGGTTCATGCCATTCTCCTGCCTCAGCCTCTGGAGTAGCTGGGACCACAGGCACCCACCACCATGCCTGGCTAATTTTTTGTATTTTTAGTAGAGACGGGGTTTCACCGTGTTAGCCAGGATGGTCTCGATCTCCTGACCTCGTGATCCTCCCACCTCCACGTCCCAAAGTGCTGGGATTACAGGCATGAGCCACTGCGCCCAGCCAAGACTTTTTAAAATGCTTCCTTCTTCATGGATCTGGGCTCCTGAGTGAGTGTGCTGAGTGAATCATGCATGGTAGCAGACACCTTTCGGAATCCGGCTTCAGTAGACGTGAGGGTAACTCCAGTGCTCAGAAAAGGTCCCTTAGCAGCTGGACTTGCTCAAGGTGACTGGATGCTCGTCATAAGATTTCCAGGTTGGGTCTGAGTTATGTCAAGTACTAGTTGGAATTGATTTATTGCTGTCTTGCTCACAAGCCAGGAGCACACTTCTGAAGTTGCCAAGAGTGTGAAAAAGCAGATATCCAAATTGTGAAGTGAGTGGTTTCCTACATTAACTCGAATTGATTTTGTTCTTCCTAATGCTGATAAGGATTATTTTGGAGTAGAATACAGTAGCCCCCTCTTATCCATGGGGATACATTCCAAGACCCTCAGTAATTGTCTGAAGTCCCGGACAGTATTGAACCCTACATATACTATGTTTTTTCTTATGCATACATGTCTTTAATAAAGTTTAATTTACAAATTAGGCACAGTAGGAGACTCACAGTATCTAATAAATTGGACGATTATAAAAAAACTGTAATAAAATTATGTGAATGTGGTCTCCTTCTCTCCAAGTATACTACAGTGCTGTAATCACCTATTTTCAGCCCATGCTGACTTCTAGTAACTGAAACCTCAAAAAGCAAAACTCCAGATAAGGGGTTTCATTTACTGTAATAAAATGAAAATTCTGTAAACATGTTTAGTTGAAAATATCTTACAGACATACATAATTCAGTGGAAGCGATAGTGATATGTTTCAGAAATTCAGATTCAAGATTTCAGAAATTCAGTTTCAAGGTTCAAGGCTCCTCTGACAATTGAATGACTTAGTTTTTCAAATATAATCAAGATTCTGCCTTGAATTATATATAATATATATTATTATTATTTCCATATATAATTTATGGAAAAGTTATAAAATTAATATAAACATTTGAAATACTGTCTTTTGGCTCACTTTGAAAAGATTTCCAGTTTGCTTCTAAATGAATAACAAATTTGAAAGGCCAAGTGATTTAAGGCAGGTACATCACTACTTAGCAATACGATTTGTTCAAGCAGGTGAAAAGTATGCAAGAATCAAAATGCTCTTTGCAAAAGGAGCTTCAATTTTCATCAGGAAAACCCAGTTTGTGTCAGAGGGTGAAACTTGCTTGACTAGATCTGTTCACTGAAGCCATTGAACAACTTCCGATGTTCTTGCTCTCTCCCATTTACGATGCTGAACTTTACAGAGACAGACTGTTTGAAGCCTTCCTAATTATTCCCATTCTTAGCCAAGAAGGATTACTAAAGCTCAGCCTCTATTGTAATTCTTAAACTTCTCAGTGCAAATTATTAATATATGGCAATCTAAAATGCCTTTCTCTGGCTTTATGACCTGATTATTATTTCGAGTCTCTCTAGCAGTGAACTTGAGGATCATGCAAACATGTTCTATGGGAACATCACTGTGTAGCTGAATAATTTGTTTTTTAGTAAGCTAGCTCAAATTTATCATCAGTCATGAAAATGTTTTATCAATGCTCTTCCATAAAGCAGACATATTATTTTACTAGTTTCAGTTTAGCCCTGACAGAAACCTGATCGGGAATACTATTATTAAGCCACAAATACCTGTTTTAAAATATGTTGTCTTATGCTATTTCATTGTATTATATTAATAATTCATGTAATATTTCCTTTGGTTTTATTGTCTTCTGTGTTATAATTAAAACTGAAATAATTTGGGAAATGTAATGTATATAGCACACATCTAAAGTTCAGAGTGAGAATAAAACTACAACTATTTTATCTATTGCAATAGCTCAAATAGTAGAGTTTAACTATAATACTTGGTATACATATCAAACAAGGTATCTATACATACATTATTTTAATTTTACTCCTCCCTCATTTTCTCTCCACGTCCCATCACATAAATATGCACAAATTTAACTGGCCAGAGGTGACCTACATTCTCTACATGCAGTGTCCATGATGAAGATAGCAACTGTATTTGCTAAGGTTTTCACAGTTCATAACAGTGAAATAAAATGTAGCTATGGACATTCATTGATTAATCTAATATTTATTGAAGGTGTATTTGTTAGATTCCGTGATACAATGATGAACAAGTCATTGTGTAATCATGAAGAGCTTCTAGCCAAGTGGGTAAAAAGATAAGGAAATCATCCCAATTAGTGAGATAAACTACAAGATAGGGAATCATTCCGTGTGTTACCAGCACATTCTACCCACGCTGTATTTTTCAGGGAAAGGTGGTGTACATTACCTGATGTCTAAATAGGAGGTAAAAGCATAAGGTGCTGGGAGACAAAGGAGTTGTAGATTACCTGATATCCAAATAGGAGGAAATAGCATAAGGGCATGGAAGAGAGAGGGGTGTAGATTACCTGATGTCCAAATAGGAGGTAATAGCGTAAGGTCCTGGGAGACAAAGGTGTTGTAGATTACCTGATGTCCAAATAGGAGGAAATAGCATAAGGTCAAGGAAGAGAGAGGGCTGTAGATTACCTGATGTCCAAATAGTAGGTAATATCATAAGGTGCTGGAAGAGAGAGGGCTTTAGATTACCCGATGTCCAGATAGGAGGTAGTAGCATAAGGTCCTGGAAGAGAGAGGGTTGTAGATTACATGATGTCCAAATAAGAGGTAACAGCGTAAGGTCCTGGAAGACAAAGGTGTTGTAGATTACCTGATGTCCAAATAGGACGAAATAGCATAAGGTCATGGAAGAGAGAGCGTTGTAGATTACCTGATGTCCAAATAGGAGGTAATACCATAAGGTCCTGGAAGACAAAGGTGTTGTAGATTACCTGATGTCCAGATAGGAGGTAATAGCATAAGGTCCTCGAACACAAAGGTGTTGTAGATTACCTGATGTCCAAATAGGAGGTAATAGCATAAGGTCCTGGAAGACAAAGGTGTTGTAAATTACCCGATGTCCAAATAGGAGGTAATAGTATAAGGTCTTGGAAGACAAAGGTGTTGTAGATTGCCTGATGTCCAAAGAGGAGGGAATAGCATAAAGTCCTGGAAGACAAAGGTGTTATTATATTACCTGATGTCCAAATAGGAGGTAATAGCATAAGGTCCTAGAAGAGAGGGCTGTAGATTACCTGATATGCAAATAGGAGGTAATAGCATAAGATCCTGGAAGAGAGGGTTATAGATTATGTGATGTCCAAATAGGAGGTAACAGCATAAGGTGCTGGTAGAGAGAGGGCTGTAGATTACCTGATGTCCAAATAGGAAGTAATAGCCTATGGTCCTGGAAGAGAGAGGGTTATAGATAACCCCATCTCCAATAGGAGGTAATAGCGTAAGGTCCTGCAAGAGAGAGGGTCGTAGAATATCTGATGTCCAAGTAGGAGGTAGTCGCATAAGGTCCTGGAAGATAGACGGTTGTAGATGACCTGGTGTCCAAATGGGAGGAAATAGCATAAGGTCCTGGAAGACAAAGGTGTTGTAGATTACCTGAAGTCCAAATAGGAGGTAACAGCATAAGGTCCTCGAAGACAAAGGTGTTGTAGATTGCCTGGTGTCCAAATAGGAGGAAATAGCATAAGGTCCTGGAAGACAAAGGTGTTGTAGATTACCTGAAGTCCAAATAGGAGGTAACAGCATAAGGTCCTCGAAGACAAAGGTGTTGTAGATTGCCTGGTGTCCAAATAGGAGGAAATAGCATAAGGTCCTGGAAGAAAAAGGTGTTGTAGATTACCTGATGTCCAAATAGGAGGTAATAGCATAAGGTCCTGGAAGACAAAGGTGTTGTAGATTACCTGATATCCAAATAGGAGGTAATAGCATAAGGTCCTGGAAGACAAAGGTGTCGTAGATTACCTGATGTCCAAATAGGAGGTAATAGCATAAGGTCCTGGAAGACAAACGTGTTGTAGATTACCTGATGTCCAAATAGGAGGTAATATCATAAGGTGCTGGAAGAGAGAGAGCTTTAGATTACCCGATGTCAAATAGGAGGTAATAGCGTAAGGTCCTGTAAGAGAGAGGGTTGTAGATGACATGATGTCCAAAGAGGAGGTAATAGCATGAAGACCTGAAACAACAAAGGTGTTGTAGATTGCCTGATGTCCAAATAGGAGGAAATAGCATAAGGTCATGGAAGAGAGAGTGTTGTAGATTACCTGATGTCCATATAGGAGGTAATACCGTAAGGTCCTGGAAGATACAGGTGTTGTAGATTACCTGATGTCCAAATAGGAGGTAATAGCATAAGGTCCTGGAAGACGATGGTGTGTAGATTACCTGATGTCCAAATAGGAGGTAAGAGCATAAGGTCCTCGAAGACAAAGGTGTTGTAGATTACCCGATGTCCAAATAGGAGGTAATAGCATAAGGTCCTGGAAGACAAAGGTGTTTTCGATTACCTGATGTCCAAATAGGAGGTAATAGAATAAGGTCCTGGAAGAGAGGGCTGTAGATTACTTGATGTCCAAATAGGAGGTAATAGCATAAGGTCCTGGAAGAGAGAGGGTTGTAGATTACATGATGTCCAAATAGGAGGTAATAGTATAAGGTCCTGGAAGACAAATGTGTTGTAGATAACCTGCTGTCCAAATAGGAGGAAATAGCATAAGGTCATGGAAGACAAAGGTGTTGTGATTTACCTGATGCCCCAATAGGAGGTAATAGCATAAGGTCCTGGGAGACAAAGGTGTTGTAGATTACCTGATGTCCAACTAGGAGGAAATGGCCTAAGGGCATGAAAGAGAGAGGGCACTAGATTACCTGATGTCCAAATAGGAGGTAATAGCATAAGTTTCTGGAAGACAAAGGTGTTGTAGATTACCTGAGGTCCAAATAGGAGTTAATAGCCTAAGGTCCGGGAAGAGAGGGCAGTAGATTACCTGATGTTCAAACAGGAGGTAATAGCATAAGGTCCTGGAAGAGAGAGGGTTGTAGATTACATGATTTGTAAATAGGGGGTAATAGCATAACGTCCTGGAAGACAAAGGTGTTGTGGATTACCTGATGTCCAAATAGGACGAAATAGCATAAGGTCCTGGAAGAAAGAGGGTAGCAAATTACCGGATGTCCAAATAGGAGGTAATAGAATAAGGTCCTGGAAGAGAAAGGTCTTGTAGACTACCTGATGTCCAAATAGGATGTAATCGCATAAGGTTCTGGAACAGAGAGGGTTGCATATTACCTGATGTCCAAATAGCAGGTAAGAGCATAAGGTCCGGGAAGAGAGAGGGTTGTAGATTACCTGATGTCCAAGTAGGTGGTAATTGCATAAGGTCCTGGAAGAGAGAGGGTTGTAGATGACCTGATGTCCAAATGGGAGGTAATAGCATAAGATCCTGGAAGACAAAGGTGTTGTAGATTACCTGAAGTCCAAACAGGAGGTAATGGCATAAGGTCCTCGAGAACAAAGGTGTTGTAGATTACCTGATGTCCAAATAGGAAATAGCATAAGGTCCTGGAAGACAAAGGTGTTGTAGATTACCTGATGTCCAAATAGAAGGTAATAGCATAAGGCCCCGGAAGACAGAGGTGTTGTAGATTAGCTGATGTCCAAATAGCAGGTAATAGCATAAGGTCCTGGAATACAAAGGTGTTGTAGTTTACCTGATGTCCAAATAAGAGGTAATAGCATAAGGACCTGCAAGAGAGAGGGTTGTAGATTACCTGATGTCCAAATAGGAGGTAATAGCATAAGGTCCTGAGAGACAAAGGTGTTGTACATTACCTGATGTCCAAATAGGAGGAAATAGCATAAGGTCATGGAAGAGAGAGAGCAGTAGATTACCTGATGTCCAAACAGGAGTTAATAGCATAAAGTCCTGGGGGAGAGAGGGTTGTAGATTACTTGATATCCAATAGGAGGTAATAGCATAAGGTCCTGCAAGAGAGAGGGTTGTAGGTTATCTGATGTCGAAATAGGAGGCAGTAGCATAAGGTCCTGGGAGACAAAGGTGTTGTAGATTACGTGATGTCCAAATAGGAGGAAATAGCTTAAGGTCTTCGAAGAGAGAGGGCAGTAGATTACCTGATGTCCAAATAGGATTTAATAGCATACGATCATGGAAGAGAGAGGGCTGTAGATGACATGATGTCCAAATAGGAGGTAATATCATAAGGTGCTGGAAGAGAGAGGGCATTACATTACCTGATGTCCAAGTAGGAGGTAATAGCATAAGGTCCTGGAAGAGAGAGGGTTGTAGATTACATGATGTTCAAATAGGAGGAAATAGCATAAAGTCATGGAAGAGAGAGGGTTGTAGATTACCTGATGTCCAAATAGGAGGTAATACTGTAAGGTCCTGGAAGACACAGGTGTTGTAGATTACCTGATGTCCAAATAGGAGGAAATAGCATAAGGTCTTGGAAGACAAAGTTGTTGTAGATTGCCTGATGTCCAAATAGAAGGTAATAGCATAAGGCCCTGGAAGACAAAGGTGTTATAGATTACTTGATGACTAAATAGGAGATAATAGCATAAAGTTCTTGAAGAAAAAGATGTTCTGGATTACCTGATGTCCAAATAGGAGGTAATAGCATAAAGTCATGGAAGACAAAGGTGTTGTTAGATTACCTGATGTCCAAATAGGAGATAATAGCATAAGGTCCTCAAAGACAAAGGTGTTGTAGATTACCTGATATCCAAATAGGAGGTGATAGCATAAAGTCCTGTGATACAGGGTGTTGTAGATTACCTGATGTCCAAATAGGAGGAAATGGCATAAGATCATGAAAGAGAGAGGGCAGTAGATTACCTGATGTCCAAAGAGGAGGTAATAGCATACGGTCCTGGAAGACAAAGTTGTTGTAGATTACCTGAGTTCCAAATAGGAGTTAATAGCATAAGGTCCTGGAAGAGAGGGCAGTAGATTACATGATGTCCAAATAGGAGGTAATAGCATAAGGTCCTTGGAAGAGAGAGGGTTGTAGATTACATGATGTCTAAATAGGGGGTAATAGCATAACATCCTGGAAGACAAAGGTGTTGCAGATTACCTGATGTCCAAATAGGAGGAAATAGCATAAGGTCCTGGAAGAAAGAGGGTAGGAGATTACCGGATGTCCAAATAGGAAGTAATAGCATAAGGTCCTGGAAGAGAAAGGTCTTGTAGACTACCTGATGTCCAATTAGGAGGTAATCGCATAAGGTTCTGGAACAGATAGGGTTGTATACTACCTGATGTCCAAATAGGAAGTAAGAGCATAAGGTCCGGGAAGAGAGGGTTGTAGATTACCCGATGTCCAAGTAGGCGGTGATCACATAAGGTCCTGGAAGAGAAAGGCTTGCAGATGACCTGATGTCCAAATGGGAGGTAATAGCATAAGGTCCTCGAAAACAAAGGTGTTGGAGATTACCTGATGTCCAAATAGGAGGAAATAGCATAAGGTCCTGGAAGACAAAGGTGTTGTACATTACCTGATGTCCAAATAGAAGGTAATAGCATAAGGTCCTGGAAGACAAAGGTGTTGTAGATTACCTGATGTCCAAATAGAAGGTAATAGCATAAGGTCCTGGAAGACAAAGGTGTTGTAGATTACCTGATGTCTAAATAGGAGGTAATAGCATAAGGTCCTGGGAGACAAAGGTGTTGTAGATTACCTGATGTCCAAATAGGAGGAAATAGCATAAGGTCATGGAAGAGAGAGGGCAGTAGATTACCTGATGTCCAAATAGTACGTAATATCATAAGGTGCTGGAAGAGAGAGGGCTTTAGATTACCCGATGTCCAAATAGGAGGTAGTAGCATAAGGTCCTGGAAGAGAGAGGGTTGTAGATTACATGATTTCGAAATAGGGGGTAATAACATAACATCCCGGAAGACAAAGGTTTTGCAGATTACATGATGTCCAAATAGGAGGAAATAGCGTAAGGTCCTGGAAGAAAGAGGGTAGTAGAATACCGGATGTCCAAATGGGAGGTAATACCATAAGTTCCTGGAAGACAAAGTTCTTGCAGACTACCTGATGTCCAAATAGGATGTAATCGCATAAGGTTCTGGAACAGAGAGGGTTGTGTATTACCTCATGTCCAAATCAGAGGTAAGAGCATAAGGTCCGTGAAGAGAGAGGGTTGTAGATTACCTGATGTCCACGTAGGCGGTAATCCCATAAGGTCCTGGAAGAGAGAGGGTTGTAGATGACCTGATGTCCAAATGGGAAGAAATAGCATAAGGTCGTGGAAGACAAAGGTGTTGCGGATTACCTGATGTCCAAATAGGAGGTAATAGCATAAGATCCTGGAATACAAAGGTGTTGTAGATTACCTGATGTCTAAATCGGAAGTAATAGCATAAGGTCCTGGGAGACAAAGGTGTTGTGGATTACCTGATGTCCAAATAGGAGGAAATGGCATAATGTCATGGAAGAGAGAGGGCAGTAGATTACCTGATGTCCAAACAGGAGCTAATAGCGTATGGTCCTGGGAGAGAGAGGGTTGTAGAGTACCCGATGTGCAGATAGGAGGTAATAGCATAAAGTCCTGAAAGAGAGAGCGTTGTACATTATCTGATATCCAAATAGGAGGTAATAGCATAAGGTCCTGGTAGACAAAGGCGTTGTAGATTAACTGATGTCCAAATAGGAGGAAATAGCATAAGATCATGGAAGAGAGAGGGCAGTAGATTACCTGATGTCGAAATAGCAGGTAAGAGCATACTGTCCTGGAAGAGAGGGCTGTAGATTACCTGATGTCCAAATAGGAGGAAATAGCATAAGGTCCTGGAGGACAAAGGTGTTGTAGATTACATGATGTCCAAATAGGACGTAATAGCATAAGGTCCTGGAAGACAAAGGTGTTGTAGATTACCTGATGTCCAAATAGGAGGTAATAGAATACGGTCCTGGAAGAGAGGGCTGTAAATTACCTGATGTCCAAATAGGAGGTAATAGAATAAGGTCCTGGAGGAGAGGGCTGTAGATTACCTGATGTCCAAATAGGAGGTAATATCATAAGGTGCTGGAAGAGAGAGGGCTTAAGATAACCTGATGTCCAAGTAGGAGGTAATAGCATAAGGTCCTGGAAGAGAGAGGGTTGTAGATTACATGATGTTCTAATAGAAGGTAACAGCATAAGGTCCTGGAAGGCAAAGGTATTGTAGATTACCTGATGTCCAAATAGGAGGAAATAGCATAAAGTCATGGAAGAGAGAGGGTTGTAGATTACCTGATGTCCAAATAGGAGATAATAGCATAAAGTCCTTGAACACAAAGGTGTTGTAGATTACCTGATGTCCAAATAGGAGGTAATAGCATAAAGTCCTGGAAGACAAAGGTGTTGTAGATTACCTGATGTCCAAATAGGAGGCAACAGCATAAGGTCCTCAAAGACAAACTTGTTGTAGATTACCTGATGTCCAAATAGGAGGGAATAGCATAAGATCCTGGAAGATAAAGGTTTTGTTAGATTACCTGATATCCAAATAGGAGATAATAGCATAAGGTCCTCGAAGACAAAGGTGTTGTAGATTACCTGATGTCCAAATAGGAGGTAATAGCATAAGGTCCTGGAAGACAAAGGTGTTGTAGATTACCTGAGTTCCAAATAGGAGTTAATAGCATAAGGTCCTGGAAGAGAGGGCAGTAGATTACCTGATGTCCAAATAGGAGGTAATAGCATAAGGTCCTTGTAAGAGAGAGGGTTGTAGATTACATGATTTCTAAATAGGGGGTAATAGCATAATATCCTGGAAGACAAAGGTGTTGCAGATTACCTGATGTCCAAATAGGAGGAAATAGCATAAGGTCCTGGAAGAAAGAGGGTAGTACATTACCGGATGTCCAAATAGGAAGTAATAGCATAAGGTCCTGGAAGACAAAGGTCTTGTAGACTACCTGATGTCCAAATAGGAGGTAATCACATAAGGTTCTGGAACAGAGAGGGTTGTATACTACCTGATGTCCAAATAGGAAGTAAGAGCATAAGGTCCGGGAAGAGAGAGGGTTGTAGATTATCCGGTGTCCAAGTAGGCGGTAATCGCATAAGGTCCTGGAAGAGAGAGGGTTGCAGATGACCTGATGTCCAAATAGGAAGTAAGAGCATAAGGTCCGGGAAGAGAGAGGGTTGTAGATTATCCGGTGTCCAAGTAGGCGGTAATCGCATAAGGTCCTGGAAGACAGAGGGTTGCAGATGACCTGATGTCCAAATGGGAGGTAATAGCATAAGGTCCTGGAAGACAAAGGTGTTGTAGATTACCTGAAGTCCAAATAGGAGGTAATAGCATAAGGTCCTCGAAAACAAAGGTGTTGGAGATTACCTGATGTCCAAATAGCAGGAAATAGCATAAGGTCCTGGAAGACAAAGGTGTTGTAGATTACCTGATGTCCAAATAGAAGGTAATAGCATAATGTCCTGGAAGACAAAGGTGTTGTAGATTACTTGATGTCCAAATAGGAGGTAATAGCATAAGGTCCTGGAAGACAAAGGTGTTGTAGATTACCTGATGTCTAAATAGGAGGAAATAGCATAAGGTCCTGGAGGACAAAGGTGTTGTAGATTACATGATGTCCAAATAGGACGTAATAGCATAAGGTCCTGGAAGACAAAGTTGTTGTAGATTACCTGATGTCCAAATAGGAGGTAATAGAATAAGGTCCTGGAAGAGAGGGCTGTAAATTACCTGATGTCCAAATAGGAGGTAATAGAATCAGGTCCTGGAGGAGAGGGCTGTAGATTACCTGATGTCCAAATAGGAGGTAATATCATAAGGTGCTGGAAGAGAGAGGGCTTAAAATAACCTGATGTCCAAGTAGGAGGTAATAGCATAAGGTCTTGGAAGAGAGAGGTTTGTAGATATCATGATGTTCTAATAGAAGGTAACAGCATAAGGTCCTGGAAGGCAAAGGTATTGTAGATTACCTGATGTCCAAATAGGAGGAAATAGCATAAAGTCTTGGAAGAGAGAGGGTTGTAGATTACCTGATGTCCAAATAGGAGGTAATACCGTAAGGTCCTGGAAGACACAGGTGTTGTAGATTACCTGATGTCCAAATAGGAGGCAATAGCATAAGGTCCTCAAAGACAAAGTTGTTGTAGATTACCTGATGTCCAAATAGGAGGGAATAGCATAAGGTCCTGGAAGATATAGGTTTTGTTAGATTACCTGATATCCAAATAGGAGGTAATAGCATAAGGTCCTCGAAGACAAAGGTGTTGTAGACTACCTGATGTCCAAATAGGAGGTAATAGCATAAGGTCCTGGAAGACAAAGGTGTTGTAGATTACCTGATGTCCAAGTAGGAGGTAATAGCATAAGGTGCTGGAAGCGAGAGGGCTATAGATTACCTGATATCCAAATAGGAGGTAATACCATAAGGTCCTGGAAGAGAGGGTTGTAGATTACGTGATGTCCAATTAGGAGGTAATAGCATAAGGTCCTTGAAGACAAAGGTGTTGTAGATTACGTGATGTCCAAATAGGAGGTTATAGCATAAGGTCCGGGAAGACAAAGGTGTTGTAGATTACCTGATGTCCAAATAGGAGGTAATAGCATAAGGTGCTGGAAGAGAGAGGGCTGTAGATTACCTGATATCCAAATAGGAGGTAATAGCATAAGGTCCTGGAAGACAAAGGTGTTGTAGATTACCTGATGTCCAAATAGGAGGTAATAGCATAAGGTGCTGGAAGAGAGAGGGCTGTAGATTACCTGATATCCAAATAGGAGGTAATAGCATAAGGTCCTGGAAGAGAGGGTTGTAGATTACTTGATGTCCAAATAGGAGGTAATAGCATAAGGTCCTGGAAGAGAGAGGGTTGTAGATTACCCGATGTCCAATAGGAGGTAATAGCATAAGATCCTGCAAGAGAGAGGGTTGTAGATCATCTGATGTCCAAATATTAGGTAATAGCATAAGGTCCTGGGATACAAAGGTGTTGTAGATTACCTGATATCCCGATAGGAGGAAATAGCATAAGATCACGGAAGAGAGAGGGCAGTAGATTACCTGATGTCCAAATAGCAGGTAATAGCATAATGTCCTGGAAGAGAGGGCTGTAGATTACCTGGTGTCCAAATAGGAGGTAATAGGATAAGGTCATTGGAGAGAGAGGGCTGTAGATTACCTGATGTCCAAGTAGGAGGTAATCACATAAGGTCCTGGAAGAGAGAGGGTTTTATATTACCTCATGTCCAAATAGGAGGTAAGAGCATAAGGCCCGGGAAGAGAGAGGGTTGTAGATTATCTGATGTGCAAGTAGGAGGTAATCGCATAAGGTCCTGGAAGAGAGAGGGTTGTAGATGACCTGATGTCCAAATGGGAGGTAATAGCTTAAGGTCCTGGAAGACAAAGGTGTTGTAGATTACCTGAAGTCCAAACAGGTGGTAATAGCATAAGGTCCTCGAAGACAAAGGTGTTGTAGATTACCTGATTTCCAAATAAGAGGTCATAGCATAAGGTCCTGGAAGTCAAAGGTGTTGTAGATTACCTGATGTCCAAATAGGAGGTAATAGCATAAGGTTCTGGATGACAAAGTTGTTGTAGGTTACCGGATGTCCAAATAGGAGGTAATAGAATAAGGTCCTGGAAGAGAGGGCTGTAGATTACCTCATGTCCATATAGGAGGTAATATCGTAAGGTACTGGAAGAGAGAGGGCTTTAGATTACCCGATGTCCAAATAGGAGGTAATAGCATAAGGTCCTGAAAGAGAGAGGGTTGTAGATTACATGATGTCCAAAGAGGAGGTAATAGCATAAGATCCTGGAAGACAAAGGTGTTGTAGATTACCTGATGTCCAAATAGGAGGAAATAGCATAAGGCCATGGAAGAGAGAGCGTTGTAGATTACCTGATTTCTAAATAGGAGGTAATACTATAAGCTCCGGGAAGATACAGGTGTTGTAGATTACCTTATGTCCAAATAGGAGTTAATAGCATAAGGTCCTGCAAGACAAAGGTTTTGTAGATTACCTGATGTCCAAATAGGAGGTAATAGTATAAGGTCCTGGAAGACAAAGATGTTTTAGAATACCTGATGTCCAAGTAGGAGGTAATAGCATAAGGTCCTGGAAGACAAAGATGTTGTAGATTACCTGATTTCCAAATAGGAGGTAGTAGCAGAAGGTCCTGGAAGACAAAGGTGTTTTAGATTACCTGATGTCCAAGTAGGAGGTACTAGCATAAGGTCCTGGAAGACAAAGGTGTTGTAGATTACCTGATTTCCAAATAGGAGGTAATAGCAGAAGGTCCTGGAAGACAAAGGTGTTTTAGATTACCTGATGTCCAAGTAGGAGGTAATAGCGTAAGGTCCTGGAAGACAAAGTTGTTGTAGATTACCTGGTGTCCAAATAGGAGGTAATAGCATAAGGTCCTGGAAGACAGAAGTGTTGTAGATTACCTGATGTCCAAGTAGGAGGTAATAGCATAAGGTCCTGGAAGACAAAAGTGTTGTAGATTACCTGATTTCCAAATAGGAGGTAATAGCAGAAGGTCCCGGAAGACAAAAGTGTTTTAGATTACCTGATGTCCAAATAGGAGGTAATAGAATAAGGTCCTGGAAGAGAGGGCTGTAGTTTACCTGATGTCCAAATGGGAGGTAATATCATAAGGTGCTGGAAAAGAGAGGGCTGTAGATTACCTGATGTCCAATAGGTGGTAATAGCATAAAGTCCTGGAAGAGAGAGGGTTGTAGATTACATGATGTCCAAATAGGAGGTAATAGCATAAGGTCATGGAAGACAAAGGTGTTGTAGATTACGTGATGTGCAACTGGGAGGTAATAGCATAAGGTCCTGGAAGACAGAGATGTTGTAGATTACCTGATGTCCAAATAGGAGCTAATAGCATAAGGTCCTGGAAGAGAGTGTGTGTTCCAGTCAGAAGGAGCTATTGGTTCAGGATAGCTGCAACATACATTTAGTCATTATGATGGAAAACTGATAATGGAGTTAGGCCTGATGTTGAGATGTATAATTGAAGAAGAGTGAGAGGATCACCTTTCAATTCACAAAGATCATCATAGGGCCAGTATAAAAGTATTTTAGAGACAAGTAATAATGGAATTAGGGAAACCAGTTCAGGTAAAAAATGATGTTGTTCTAGATTTTGGAGGTGACTGAAGAGAAAAAGTACATATAATTCACTTATAGCTCTGCTTATCCTATTACGGGTATTTCTTTCTAATGGAGATTACAGATGTTATTTTTAAAACACTTTGTGATTCTGAGGAGGCATTTACTTATGGGTCTAGTTGTATCATTAGTAACAATATATATTGTGTTTATCTTAAGCACACTTCTCTGCACATTATCTCAACTTCCTGGGTTGCTTGATCGGATAAAGCATTTATATTTGTCTTCTAAAATATGACTAAATACTATCCCCAATCAAAGTGACATAATATTCCATAGTTGTGCAAATGTTTAGTTTTTTTTTTTTTGTGCCGAAAGATAAGTCACAGGCTGGGGTATTTGATTTTTCTTTTAAAAATGATAAAGCAGAAGGAGAGAGAAAGAGACCAAGAAAATAAAATTGTATACAGTGAAACACAGATGTTATCTGAAAAATGGATTTTTTAAGAGAAATATAGGTATAAAAGGCATTCATGAGAAATACAAGAAGAGAGAAAGAGAAGTGAATAAATTAAACTCTTTTAATTATTGCAACAGCTCAAATAGTAGATTTTAACTATAATATTTGATAGACATGTGAGGTCTTTATACATATACTATTTTAATTCTCTCTCTATATATATAATGAAATGTTATTCCAAAATGCAATATAATCCCGTGGAAAATTTATTCAGTCGGAAAAAGGAGAAAATAAGGTTCTAATACTGATTTTAGTGCCTCAGGCAAGACACATAACTTTTTGGGCATCAATTTCTATATCTGTAAAATGAAAACACACGCCCTACTATGTATATCATATGTAAATGTCTAAAATGAGATAATAGTATTGAAAATGGCTTTGAAAAAAAATACAAGGGATTGAGTCACTCTAAGGAATGACTGTTTTTTAGGAGTCAACAAGAGGCAAAGGAAATAAAATTTATTCCAACTAAATGAAAAAGTGTTACTGAAATGTTAGCCTTTTTTTTTTTTTTTTTTTTTTGAGACGGAGTCTCGCTCTGTCGCCCAGGCTGGAGTGCAGGGGCGCGATCTCGGCTCACTGCAAGCTCTGCCTCCCGGGTTCACGCCATTCTCCTGCCTCAGCCTCCCGAGTAGCTGGGACTACAGGCGCCCGCCACTACGCCCGGCTAATTTTTTGTATTTTTAGTAGAGACGGGGTTTCACCGTTTTAGCCGGGATGGTCTCGATCTCCTGACCTCGTGATCCGCCCGCCTCGGCCTCCCAAAGTGCTGGGATTACAGGCGTGAGCCACCGCGCCCGGCCAAATGTTAGCCTTTTAAGAATACAAAAAAATCTAATTATATATGAATACAATACCTGAACCCATGAAACTTCTGTAGAATACATGAATCTGTAAAGTTATGTATTCTAAACATTTGTAGCCAGAATAACTTTCTTCATATTTTCCACATTCTTGGTACACTTACGTGTCACACATGTTCCCTGTTTTTCAAACAAGGTCAATGTTTTCATTATATACATTTACATTGTTATTGTAACTATTTTCCAGGTCTGTCAGTAAAATTTAGTCTCACACATTGATACCACATTCTTGCAATTATATTGTAATTCTCACATAGTAATTCAAGCCTTTTTGAATATACAAATCATCTGAATTTATTATATCACTGCTATGACACCTCATACACATGTTGAGACCATTTATGCCAGAAAAGATTAGATTTAGTATTCAAAGAGCCAAATGTAAATAATTCTGGATTGCTTATCCAAATGGGGAACTCAGAGAACTTCTATAGTTTAAATATGCAAATATTCAAAAGTAATTTTTTTGTGACCATACCCTCCTGCTACTGAATGTTTCCTTGAGCTGGTGTCAGAAGCAGGGTTTACAATGTTGTGCTCTATTTCCTGTTTAACCTATTGCCAAGATGTTAATTCAGAGTGAAATAATAAGAACTTAGTGAGAACTGGGGGTGATAAACAAAGTGTCCTCACAGCGGAGAAACTGGAAAATGTATCCTTGAAAGCGTGTGAATCGGGTGAGCGTACAACGGGTAACATCAGTATTGGTGTTCTCACTGCTGGGTCAGCACTGACCAGCAGAGTCTGGTGGGAGCCAGCAGGACCAGAAACATGTCCTCAGTTTGGGCCAATTTAAAGAAGTTGGGAAGCTTTCTAGAGCCCGGCCGTGTGTCTCTGCCCTTGCTACAACTCCTCCCTCTGTCTCACAGCCAGAGATGCACCCATGATGACATTCATGTAGGCTATTAAGGGCGAGCATTTCTCGGAAGGTGAAGCAAGATATGGTAGTCATTCCAAGAAACCTTCCTTCTCAGCTGCGATTTGTCAAGAGGAAAGAAGTGGAGTTTTCAGTGGAAAGCAGATGTGAATTTGGAGCAGTGGGGCACTTCCAGAGAATGAGCCCGGGTCAATTTTCATAGGCAATTGGCAACATGAATGCATAGGCACTGGGAAGAATGTAAATGGCAAGTCCAGGAAGCAAGTAGTAGCTAACAAATGCGTGAAAGAGTAGAGGAGTAAAATAACGATTTCATCCTCTGAATGCTGCCCAGAGTCAATCCCACTGTACCCCGTGCAGAGAAAGTGACTCCAGGAGTGTGTGCCCAGTCTAGAAGAAACAACAACACTCCTTCCATGTAGAGCCAAAATCGTGTGTGTCCCTCGGCCTGAGGAGCTGGAAGAATCCTGAATCTTCTCCATTTAGGGCAGGAGTTTTAGTGGCATGTCAAATGTGCAACATCCTCCAAGCCTAGAACCTAGAGGTGGTTCTAGAACACTTTTCTTCCTTGCTTCCACATCTGTCCAATTACCCACCTCAATTAATAGTTACCAGAATATTCCCAGAGAATCATACCAGCACACTCTTTGCACCAGGAAGGGGTACAGATATGTTACAAGAAGAGAGGTGGCTGTCAGAGTGGACCACATGTCTTTTTATAGTTTGGTGCTTTGTCTTTCACAATACCAGCTTGCCGTCTAGCAGGGGATGTCTAGCGTCTCCTACAAACATACTGATTATCTAGGAACATCATAGCACCAAAGAGGCCTTCTGCCCTCTTCCATTCCCACATTGTTAAGAAAAAAAAAAACTGGTTACGTAAATTACAGCATATTCATTTAATACTTGGAATATAAAAAGGGGTGGAAACATTGTTAAGGCCCCTGTCTGTGTAAGGATATAGAAAGCAGCCAAGATATATCTGTAGGTAACTAAAATGCAGATGTGCACAATGCTGCCATGCCTGTAGAAAACAAGGCCGGGTGCGGTGGCTCACGCCTGTAATCCCAGTGCCTGTAGAAAACAAGGCCGGGCGCGGTGGCTCACGCCTGTAATCCCAGTGCCTATAAAAAACAAGGCCAGACGCGGTGGCTCACGCCTGTAATCCCAGCACTTTGGGAGGCCGAGATGGGCAGATCACAGGGTCAGGGGATGGAGAACATCTTGGCCAACATGGTGAAATCCCGTGTCTGCTAAAAATACAGAAATTAGCTGGGCGTGCCTGTAGTTCTAGCTACTTGGGAGGCTGAGGCAGGAGAACCTCTTGAACCTGGGAGGCAGAGGTTATAGTACGCTGAGATGGCACTATTGCACACTCCAGCCTGGGCAACAGAGCAAGACTCCATCTCAGGGAAAAAAAAAAACACAACAAGCAAGTACACAAAAACGCCAAACACACAAAACTATACAGAACATATGATTTTTGCCAATATTCCAGGGTAAAAACATCTCAAGAGTTGATAGATTCCAGAGTCTTTGAGTGAGCACACTCGGTTCCTATCCTTGATCCCCTGCCCTCCGGAAGGCCTGTTTCTGTCTTCTCCCTCACACTCACCACCTGCTATCAGGACTCTCTGCTCCCTACTGTCAAGACTAGACGTGCCTCAGACACAGATTCCTCCCTTCTTCAGCAGGAGTTCCCAGGGCCGAGTTATTTATTCTAGAAGGTGCCCCTGGTGATAGTGGTGGGGAAAGCTTCTACAGGTCATCTGCAGTTACTTCTGGTCCTGTGTGTCACTCCGAAGACCACTTGTCATGTGGGGCGGCGGCTTCACAGAAGCATCTAGGTTAGCCAGAGACACTTAAAGCCTGTTTCTCTTTGAGAATGATGGTAAGCAGAAGACCTTTCTCTTTATCTTGTATTTATTAGTAACTATTAAATATATATTTTTATACACACAGACATATACCAAAGATGAACATTGATCCTTATCTTACGGATTCTCTAGACTCAAATGCTTACTGAAGTCAGGCAGATAAAACAAAAAAAATTCAACAACAGCAAACCAGCAAACAGAAACTCACTGAGGTAGTGAAGTGTAAGCAGGAAGCTGTGTGGCCAGGTGTGAGGAACTGTGTAGAACTCTGGGAGGAATGAGAGTAGCCCCTTCAGCTTCACTGCTTGCTGGTATGTGGGAGGGAGGGCCAGGGTTCCAAAACTTCCAGTTCTTAAATAGAAGCCTGCAGTCCTCATTGGAATTGCTTGTATGTTGACTCAAAAGGTTAAATATTGTGCAGATCAAACAAATAATTTCTGTGAGGAGGATTTAGTCAATGGGTAAGGAGTTTGTGACCTTTTGTCTAAACACATGAAAAGGAAGGGGACCATTTGCCTGACTGCTCTCTACTTTGCTACGTTCTTTCTACACCTGAGTTAGTGCTGGTGGAAGAGTGTTTCTTCTCCTTCATCCAGCTGCTTTCAGTCATGTACCCCCCCGTGACCCCCTCACTCTGGTTCAAACGCAAACACAAACTGAGAATAGGAAAATAATCCACTGCTGAGGCATGAACATAGCACCAAAGGATGCAGTACTCTAGTTGCAAAGAACTCTGGCTGAAATTTCCCCCACCTCACCTGCTTTCTCCTTTTATCTTACTCAAGGCTCATCTCTCTTCCAGTTCCTCTCTGGGGAAACAGGAGGGAGATTCTTCTTGTCACATAAATGTGTCCTGAAAGGATTCTCTCCTCCTTATATCTACTCCTTTAATCTGAGTTCAAGTCATCAACACCTCTCACCTGGCCCACTTGCCAACTTCCATACCGTCTGTCTCCATCCTCTAAAACAAACTTTCCATGTGGACAAAGCTGTCCTTTCTCATGCCTCAGACGCCACTGAGGGCACACCAAGGCCATTGGCGGCGTGGCCGTGGACTTACACAAACTTTCCATGTGGACAAAGCTGTCCTTTCTCATGCCTCAGATGCCACTGTGGGCCCACCAAGGCCGTTTGCGGCGTGGCCGTGGACTTTCCTTATGGTCACCAACCTGCAGCCTTAAGCTTTCACTCACCCTCTTTGTCTGTCCCCAGACTTAAATCTTTTCTTCATGTTGACCCTTGAAATACGTGTATTCATGAAGACCTGTTCAATCACACTCTGGATTTTCAAAGTTGAAAATAACAGGAAGTTACTACGGCAATGATGATTTAGTGAAAAATATGAAGGAATCAGTGACTCAACAATTTTTGGGCCCCATTTTTTTTTTCCTTCACCAGAGGATAATGTTAATATGAAGAGGTTGGTTGTCAATATTACAACTTTAGAAAGAGGAATACATGTATGTATGTATTCTTTTATATTTATGGGAGTTACCTTCTGAAACCTTTGAACATCACCAATATTGCGGATAACCATATGTTTTGATAAGCTCTTGGGTTTATCTCGCATTGCGATCAAGAATTGTTTTCACTGCATATCCTCCAACTACATTAAATGCCTTTTCAACATTCTTTACAATTTTCTACGTGGCAAAAGATACCATAAACAAAACTAAAGACAAATAACAGACTGGAGAAAATATTGTTTGCTTTGAGTATAACGTGGTAAGTTACGAAGGAAATGACAGGACACTAAATATGGGAAAATGAGTAAATATACCAAGAGCAAATTCAGAAAGACCTGTGCAATGAGACACAAAATTATTTTTAAAATTATAAAAATAAGCTTAATCTCACTAATAATCTGAGGACTACATGTTAAAATGGCAATGGAATTTCTTTGATGACCAAATATCGTTGTTTGATCATGTCAAGGGCAAGTGGGCAGGGAGAAATGTGTACTCCTCAACTGCAGATAAAAAGAGAATTGATAAAACCTCTTAAAAAAATGGATTAGATTTAGAAGAATGAACTATGTATACACTCTATGACTCAGTTCCATCTGTGAACATGAGTGTCAGAGAAAAGTGTGGCACATCTTCCAGTGGCCAGGTACACAGTGTTGTGCATGACCCTGTGTGGGAGGACCACAAATACATTTTAGTTAAGCACGTTATGGAAGACTATGTAGTATTTAGAAAGATGGGAAGGATCTATATGTACTGACATGAAGTCATAAAAATTATAAAAATCAAGGTGCAAAATCTGATGATTTGATGCCATGTGTGCAAAACATTCTTTTATATGCATTTCACAAAAAACAATATTATGTATTTCTCATTATCCCTAAAACAATTCTAGAGGATTCATGACATGCTGTTACTTGTCTCAGGTGGACAAGGATTAGAAATGGTGAATAAAAAAGGTTATTTTGGCGGGGCACAGTGACTTATGCCTGTAATCCCAGCACTTTGGGAGGCCGAGGTGGGTGGATCACTGGAGGTCAGGAGTTCGAGACCAGCCTGACCAACATGGTGAAACCCCGTCTCTACTAAAAATACAAAAAACTAGCCAGGCATGGTGGTGCGTGCCTGTAATCTAGCGACTCGGGAGGCTGAGGCAAGAGAATTGCTTGAACCCGGGAGGCGGAGGTTGCAGTGTTGCAGTGAGCCGAGATTGCATCATTGCATTCCAGCGTGGGCAACAAGAGTGAAACTCTGTCTCAAAAAAAAAAAAGAGGTTACTTTTGCCAGGCACAGTGGCTCACACCCGTAATCCCAGCACTTTCGGAGGACGAGGTGGGTAGATCACTTGAGGTCAGGAGTTTGAGACCAGCCTGGCCAACATGGTGAAACCCCATCTCTACTAAAAGTACAAAAATTAGCCAGGTGTGGTGGCGTGCGCCTGTAATTCCAGTTACTTGGGAGGCTGAGGCAGGAGAATTGCTTGAGCCCTAGAGGCGGAGGTTGCAGTGAGCCGAGATCAAGACACTGCACTCCAGGCCCAGAGACAGAGAGAGACCCCGTCTCAAAAAAAAAAAAAAGTTATTTTTCACATGGTAGTTCATTAAAATTTTTTAAGTATTAAGCTTTATTTATCAACTGATTAATATTTTTTCCTAATGAAACAAAATTTTACTTTTTTTAAAAAGTCTCTTTGTACTATTCAAATACTGAATATACAAACATTAGCTAGTGAAGGAATGAATACTGAGCTGATAGCCAGGCTTACTTGCTAGCTGGGTGACTATCTCACGGAAGTCTAGCAGGATTTGAGATTTCAATGAGAAATATTCTGCAAAACTTTAGAGTTGCTGACAAAAGGTAAAAAAAAAATGTGCTTATTAATAAAATAAGGCCAAGTAATGAAAAATGTATTTATTAAATGAAGGCCAGGGAACACTGTGTGAGGCTTCGTGGGTGTGAGTACTTGCTACTGGACTGTCATTTCTCAGTTATACAGAGTGAACCAGAGGTAGATAGGGAATAGTTATTGTCAGCAGGATCTATAGAAATAGCAACAGTGGTGAGGAGTAGAAGGATGTTGGATCAAATAAGATAGTGCAGATAACACCATAGAATGCTAGAGCCAAAAGGATTTAACACATACTTTTCTTGATAAGAAATAGGAGACAAATAAAAGTTCAATGATTTGCTGGAGGTCACACTGATATTTAGTGGAAGAACAAAGACCTAGGGCCCTTCAAGAGTAGAAAATGTTATACAAATGTCAACCGCTAAGCATTGGGGGTATTTATTGATCTTTATAATTTAGAGGTAATGGGCTCTGAGCATCAGACCATCTGATAACTTTAGTTCATCAGATTCTCAAAGTGTTCATCACTAGAAGAAGCTAAATAACTGCGTTACTCTGAAAATAAAAAATGAATATTGAGTCTGTTATACATTCTTTGATTTTAGGATGTAAAATTCCTTTTCTACTTCTCACAGGCAGCACTGAGATCTATGTTGCAAAGTAAATTGGGATAGTATTAAAACCATTTGCCTCAAGGGTTTTTTTAATAAGTTTCTTGTGATAATGTATGTGAATGCCCCAAGTATATGTGACCCATGGGCTGGTCTGTAGGTGGGACCCACTACATCGGTGAATCATGCTAAGCTCTTAATGACTCATTGTAGGTCTCTAAAATAATGGTATTTACAAATTCAAGACACATCTTTCATGAATAGCAAACGCTTACCATACAATAGCAAAATGAAGATAACACCAACTGAACTCTCTATTTTCTGTTTCTGTTTAACACCAACTCAATTGTTCATTTCCCCACGTGGTTGAGAGAGGAACATTAAATAAGTAGCAATGTTGGGCTGGCTGGTGGTTCTAAGGATCACCTAGAAAATGGAATGCCAGAGATTGTTTAGAAACAGATCTGAGATACTAGATAAGATGAAAATAACAATATAAGCACAGTAGTCTTCGTAACCAAGTCTTATGTGATTCAGAAATCAATAATCTAAATTACAGAGATCAGTACCTATTACAGGAAACAGTCGATATCCTCTGGGGCAGGGTTTTACCTCTGGTGTAGCCTCATATAAGTGAAAAAGAAAGGCTAAACGTCTTTGACCCCCAATTCCCATTCCCTTCACAGAAAACTAGCTAAATATCTAAATTGCTACCATTAAATCACATTAAATATTGCTCTTCTGCACTTTCTGGTCTGGTGTTGTAAAAAGCAGTTGGTTGTGCATATAAGAATGAGGGAAATGGAGGCTATCATTGGGACACAACGTATATCATAACAGTACGTGAAGTGGGTGGAGCGCTAACCTCAGTGTTTCTGCAAGGGAGTCTGGACTGCCCAGAGTGCATCCGTGTCATCCTGCATTTGGACATCATCACCAATTTCTTTCCAAGGACCCTTGTGCCCAAACAAAACTTGCACACATCAGATACATGCTGCCAATCCTGAAAAGTGAACATTTAAAACCTTAAAACTGAATTTGAATGTACCTGATCAATGTAATCACGTTTATTCTGTTCTCAGCTCTGTGATGTGTTCTGTCTACCAAAAGGAAGCTCTATTGCAGCCATTCAATGGTAATCCTGCTTGTACTCACAGAGTACTACTATTCTAAGAGCTTGGTAATATACTGCACATTTTTCTCTTCTCTTTTCTCTTCTCTTCTCTTCTTCTCTTCTCTTTCTTTTTCTTTTGACGGAGTCTTGCTCTGTCGCCCAGGCTGGAGTGCAGTGGCACCATCTTGGCTCATTGCAACCTCCACCTGCCAGGTTCAAGCAATTCTCCTGCCTCAGCCACCTGAGTAGCTGGGATTATAGGCACATGCCACCATGCCCAGCTAACTTTTGTATTTTTTTTTTTTTAGTAGAGATGGGGTTTCACCACATTGGCCAGGCTGGTCTTGAACTCCCAACCTTGTGATCTGCCCACCTTGGCCTCCCAAAGTGCTGGGATTACAAGCGTGAGCCACTGTGCCTAGCCTGTACTGCAGATTTTCTAAAATAGTATAGCCTATGTTAAAACTTGTCCTAATAGACATTATAAGATTACTTAGACATTGTTTTACTTTAAAGACTGTGTATGGCTTTCTCACAACCCCAGGGCCATTACTAGTAAGATAAGATTTTCATGGAAGACATTAAAAATCATGTTACACTTTAATAGTGATATTGTTTCAATCTTTCATCACATTAGGTCATTTCCATTTAGAAAATTTGATATTCATATGGAACCTTTTTGTATCAAAAATTATCCACATGTGCTTCAATTTTAGAACTTAACTACTTTCATGCAAGTAGTTTCTCTTAAGTCAGCTAAGGTAATCATGCATCTTCCTTGATTCTTTAAGACTCCCCTGCCCTGAAATATCTCCCCTAAAAGTCTGACACAATTATAGAACAAAGGATACTATGTCTTATTAAGAAGTTTAATCTCATCGTTATTAATAAGTAAATATGTGATATGGTTTGGCTCTGTGTCCCCTCCCAAATCTCATCTTGTAGCTCCCATAATTCCACGTGTTGTGGGCAGGACCCGGTGGGAGATGATTGAATCATGGGGTGGGTCTTTCCTATGCTGTTCTTGTGATAGTGAATGGGTTTCTGATGGTTTTAAAATGGGGAGTTCCCCTGCACAAGCTCTCTCTTTGCCTGTTGCCATCCATGTAAGATGTGACTTGCTCCTCCTTGCCTTCCACTGTGATTGTGAGGCCTCCCCAGCCATGTGGAACTGTAAGGCCAATAAGCTTCTTTCTTTTGAAAATTGCCCAGTCTCGGTTATGTCTTTATCAGCAATGTGAAAACAGACTAATACAATACGCATTTTTCTTGAGTATAGAATTAACCTGTTATATTTTTCCTAACATAGAGGAGGTAGTCTGGAGAGATTTGAAAGAAACACAGAGGTACAATTAATTTATTAGCCAAGTTCTTCAGGATCTCCTAAGAGAGAAACAGAGAGAGAGGTAGTGCAGTAAAGCTTCCATCTGATGCATAGCTAGTGTGAGGACACGTGCCTAGAGGCAGAACCAGGGAACTGGGAAATAGGAACATCTGTATTAATTTTGCTGATGATCTACCCTGAACACATGCTTTATGTTATGGGTTGGCTGTGTCCCCACCCAAATCTCTTCTTGAATGAATTCCCACGCATTGTGGGAGGGACCTGGTGGGAGGTGATTGGATCATGGGGGCAGGTCTTACCTGTGCTGTTCTCATGATAGTGAATGAGTCTCTCGAGATCTGATGGTTTTAAAAGGGGGAGTTTCCCCGCACAAGCTCTCTCTTTGCCTGCCACCATCCATGTAAGATGTGACTTGCTCTTCCTTGCCTTCTGCCATGATTGTGAGGCCTCCCCAGCCATGTGGAACTGTGAGTCCATTAAACCTCTTTTTCTTCCCAGTCTCGGGTATGTCTTTATCAGCAGTGTGAAAATGGACTAATACAGTAAATTGGTACCAGTAGAGTAGGGTGCTGCTGAAATACCCAAAAATGTGGAAGCGACTTTGGAACTGGGTAACAGGCAGAGGTTGGAAAAATTTGGAGGGCTCAGAAGAAGACAGGAAAGTGTGGGAAAGTTTGGAACTCCCTAGAGATTTGTTGAATGGCTTTGCCCCAAATGCTGATAGCGATATAGACAATGAAGTCCAGGTTGAGGTGGTCCCAGATTAAATGAGGAACTTGTAGGAACTGGAGCAAAGGTGACTCTTGTTATGTTTTAGCAAAGACACTGGTGACATTTTGCCCCTTCCCTAGAGATTTGTTGAACTTTGAACTTGAGAGAGATGATTTAGGGTATCTGGCAGAAGAAATTTCTAAGCAGCAAAGCATTCAAGAGGTGACTTAAGTACTGTCGAGGCATTCAGTTTTAAAAGGGAAGCAGAGCATAAAAGTTCAGAAAATTTGTAGCCTGACAAAACAATAGAAAAGAAAACCCTGGTTGGGCATGGTGGCTCACGCCTGTAATCCAGCACTTTGGAAGGCCGAGGTGGATGGATCACGAGGTCAGGCATTCGAGACCAGCCCTGGCCAACATAATGAAACCCCGTTTCTACTAAAAATGCAAAAAATTAGCCAGGCGTGGTGGCAGGTGCCTGTAATCCCAGCTACTCAGGAGGCTGAGGCAGGAGAATTGCTTGAACACAGGAGGCAGAGGTTACAGTGAGCCGAGATAGCGCCACTGCACTCCAGCCCGGGCAATGGTGTGAGACTAGGTCTCAAAAAAAAAAAAAAAAATTCCCATTTTCTGAGGAGAAATTCAAGCTGGCTGCAGAAATTTCATAAGTAACGAGGAGCCAAATGTTAATCCCCAAGACAATGGGGAATATATCTCCAGGGCATATCAGAGGTCTTCATGGCAGACCCTCTCATCACTGGCCAGGAGGCCTAGGAGGAAAAAGTGGTTTTGTGGACCAGACCCAGGATCCCTGTGTTGTGTGCAGTCTAGGGACTTGGTGCCCTGCTTCCCAGATGCTCCAGCTGTGACTGAAAGGGGCCAAGGTACAGCTTGGGCTATTGCTTCAGATGGTGAAAGCCCCAAGCCCTGGCAGCTTCCATGCGGTGTTGAGCCTTCGGGTTCACAGAAGTCAAGCATTGAGGTTTGGGAACTTCTACCTAGATTTCAAAGCATGTATGGAAATACCTGGTTGTCCAGGCAGAAGTTGGCTGCAGGGGTGGGGCTCTCATGAAGAACCTCTGCTAGGGCAATGTGAAAGGGCAATGTGGGGTCGGAGCCCCCACACAGAGTCCCTACTGGGGCACTGCCTAGTGGAGCTGTGAAAAGAGGGCCACCGTCCTCCAGACCTCAGAATGGTAGATCCACTGACAGCTTGCACTGTGCACCTGGAAAAACCACAGACATTCAACACCAGCCCATGAAAGGAGCCAGGAGGGAGGCTGTATCCTGAAGAGCCACAGAGCCAGGAGGGAGGCTGTATCCTGAAGAGCCACAGGGTGAAGCTGCCCAAGGCCATGGGAACCTACCTCTTACGTTACCGTGACCTGGATGTGAGCCATAGACTCAAAGGAGGTCATTTTGGAGCTTAAAGATCTGAGTGCCCTGCTGGATTTTGGACTTGCATGGGGCCTGTAGCCCCTTTATTTTGGCTAATTTCTCCCATTTGGAAAGGCTGTATTTACCCAATGCCTGAACCCCTTTGTATCTAGGAAGTAACTAACTTGCTTTTGATTTTACAGGCTCATAGGTGGAAGGGACTTGCCTTGTCTTGAATGAGACTTTGGACTGTGGACTTTTGAATTAATGCTGAAATGAGTTACAACTTTGGGGGACTGCTGGGAAGGCATGATTGGTTTTGAAATGTGAGGACATGAGATTTGGGAGGGGCCAGAGGCAGAATGATATGGTTTGGCTGTGTCTCCACCTAAATCTCATTTTGAATTCCCCCATGTTGTGGCAGGGATCTGGTGGGAGGTGACTGGATCATGGAGGCAGGTCTTACCTGTGCTGTTCTCATGATAGTGAATGAGTCTCTCAAGATCTGATGGTTTTAAAAGGGGGAGTTTCCCTGCACAAGCTCTCTCTTTGCCTGCCACCATCCATGTAAGATGTGACCTGCTCCTCCTTGCCTTCACCATGATTGTGAGGCCTCCCCAGCCATGTGGAACTGTGAGTCCATTAAACCTCTTTTTCTTCCCAGTTTTGGGTATGTCTTTATCAGCAGTGTGAAAACAGAGTAATACACTTTATTACATTTTCCTTCTACAAAATTTACATTTTTTATAACAATAGTTTTCATTTGTATTTCTTTTTGGATGACAAAGACATTTTACAGACATTTTATCATTGAACTCTACAATATTAAGTGTTAGAGCAAGTTTTAGCTATTTAACAATAAGGAAATGGAGCTTCAGCGACCTGTTGTAGTTAACATACATAATAAGCTGAATAACTGGGTCATGTATTCTATGCTATGTTTTCCTGAGTTATGTAGGTATCCTGTATAAGAAAAAAAATCTGTTTCATGATTCTATGAAAGTATTTTGATAACTTTTGATATATAAGACTTATTAGTATGGGTATGCATCAAATTTTCTTTCAGTATACAACAAAATAAATTTAGTAAAGTAAGTATAATGTAATTCAAATTCCTATAAACAACATTTAGTAAATATCTAAAAGGAAGTATCAGAAATACTACTAAAGTTAATACACACACCTGCCTACACTCACACACGGCACACATTTTCAAAGATATAAAAGCACATAATTGAAAAGTATGTTTTCTGGGGCCGGGCGCAGTGACTCACGCCTGTAATCCCAGCACTTTGGGAGGCCGAGGCAGGCGGATCACAAGGTCAGGAGATCAAGACCATCCTGGCTAACACGGTGAAACTAAAAATACAAAAAATTAGCCGGGCGTGGTGGCGGGCGCCTGTAGTCCCAGCTACTTGGGAGGCTGAAGCAGGAGAATGGCATGAACCTGGGAGGCGGAGCTTGCAGTGAGCTGAGATCGAGCCATCGCACTCCAGGCTGGGTGACAGAGTGAGACTCCGTCTCAAAAAAAAAGTTTGTTTTCCACTTGTGTGTGGTAGCCAGGTGAACAGTCCAGCCAAACAGTGACACCCCTAGAGAAGATATTGAGCATGATTTCTTTCTGTTTTCCTTTTCTTTTTTTAACACAAATGATTTCATCCTACAGGTTGGTTTCAGCCTTTCTTTTATCACTTATCTATTCACACAAAGATAAGCACATGTGCATGCACACACACTTTTTTCTTCTCTCTCTTTATTCCACAGCAGCACAGAAAGAGTTACCATCGTCTTTTTAATGGCCATAAAAATATATCATAATTGATTTGACCGGTTGAACATTTAAAGTATTTGCAAGTGAATCTTGCTGTGCAGACATCATTTAGAGTGTGTGTAGTATGTCCATAGGATAAATTCCTAGAAGCAAAATTATTAGGCAAAAGAAATCATGCATTTTTAATTTTAAGAAATATTCCTAAATTGCTTCAGTGGATAGTATATAAATCTATATTTCCACTAGTAATGCATGACTGCATGTTTTCCTCACAGTGCCACCCACACACTGTGTCATCAACATTTGTGAACTGTATTAACCTGAGAGATAAAATATGTTATGTAATTAAGTTTTAATTTGTAACTTTTCCTTTATAAGTGAGATTGAGGTTTCCCCCACTTTCATATGGTCTTCCCGTTTGTTCACCAGACTATTAGTCTTTTCCCAGATGATTCATGAAAACTGGACATGTTAAGAATATGAACCCCTTAGCTATTAAAATGGTTGTAATTTTTTCCAAGTTTTTTTTGTATTGTTTATGGAATTATTTTATATATAGATTTTAATTTTTATGCAATTAAACATGTTTATTTTATATATTGGAGCATTTTGTCATATTACAAAATCCTTCTCCAATTCCAAACTTTAAAATTCTTTTTTCCCAATTTATTTTAGCCTTATATCCTGTATTTAACATCTGTAATTTATTTTAGGGTAAAGTGTGAGGTATGTATCTCACTTTATTTCTTTTCCAGATGGTAATTTATTTATTACAATCTATCTTATAAAATAAATCACCTCCTCTACTGATTTGAAATGCCACTTTTATTGTATAATAAATTTCTGCACATTAGCAATATTTTACTGTTTATCAAAACTACATCATAATTCCTATTTGTATATTGCTCTATTGTTCTTTCTAGTTATTGTCAGTCTAATATTTTGAACTGTTCTCTAAACATACCCATTACAGAAATATAGTCCTGTTTATTTACATATGCATGTTTGCACTTATTTATGATGTATGTACTACATAAGAGTTGGGGATCAATATATACCAAAATAAATTACATTGTTCCTGTCCACATCACAAAGTTTAAGATAAATTAAAAAGTTAAAGTATATATGAAACTATATATGCCTTTTGAGTAAAAACAAGGAAATTCTTTTTCAAAAAGCAAATAAACAAGTTTATTATTTTAGATTCATTTATTGTAGTTAATACCTTATTTCACTCCAAGTTTTCTAATAACGAATGTAAAGACGAAACATGTTGACATCTACTGTGATAAAGAAAGTTCATTTCCTAGCAGTTAATTCTAAGTAGGATGCTGGGCCTATGCAAGTGGTGATGAATAGCATAAATAAGTTAGCTTTTCCAAAAAATTAAATGTTTAGAAGTATCTTCAGGCCAGGCATGGTGGCTCACACCTGTAATCCCAGCACTTTGGGAGGTCGAGGAGGATGGATCACGAGGTGAGGAGATCAAGGCCATCCTGACTAACACAGTGAAAGCCCATCTCTATTAAAAACACAAAAAATTAGCCAGGCGTGGTGGCGGGCGCCTGTAGTCCCAGCTACTCAGGAGGCTGAGGCAGGAGAATGGCGTGAACCCGGGAGGCAGAGCTTGCAGTGAGCTGAGATCGTGCCACTGCATTCCAGCCTGGGCGAGAGAGTGAGACTCTGTCTCAAAAACAAACAAACAGACAAACAAACAAACAAACGTATCTTCAAATGGACATTTCAAATGTTTCTTCTTTTTATAAGTTGAGAAAGTAACACAGAAGCATCAGTAAAATGTCTTCAGGCAACAACGTAGCATCATGTTGGTATGTCACTTACTGGAAAGAAGATTATATATCTTTTAGACTCTTCCCAAAATTAAAAAAAATGCACCTGTCAAATATGAAATACTGGTAAAGTTCAAAGAATCCGTAATGTTTGTGGATGATTAAAAATGTGAAAACTGTGACAGATTCTTTCTCAGTCAGAGTAATTTGATTTCTGCAGAGCGGGCTATAGACCGGTCTTCGGGTACTTTCTCAAAGATTAACTGAATTTTCTTAAACAAATATTTAATTTGATTACCAGAATATGAAAGAAAAAAATTTTGTCTAACAACTCTTTCTGAAGTTTGCCAATAGCTTTCTTTTACTGCCAATACGACTTTTCTGAAGCATTTCATTATCAGTTGATCTTTGTCTTCTTAAGTCAGTTAATGATACGACACGAACAAAATATATTATCATGCAGGTAAATAAAAACTGTCCTGTTGGAAAACTTAGTGTTTCCTATTTAAATTTCAGAAAAATTCAGCTTTTTTTGTGGTTGATATTCAATGCACAGGCATTAGAAAAAGGGTCTATTGTGTCTGAGGTTTTTTCTGGTTTTAAGTGATAAAGCCATCTTTGGCATGAAGGATACTTGGTTCTCATTTTCAGTAGAAAGTGGCATGCATCCCAGTTACCCAATAGTTATCCTAAAGCACTGAACTAAACTTAAGACATAAAAAATGTAAGTACATTCTTTTGAACGTGATTGAGAATTGGAATTTTATTTGTCAAAATATTTTACATATGCTTATTCTGGCTGCCATATTATGATGCTTACTGTGTAAAAGCTTTTGTGGTATTGTATCTTACTGAGATAGTATAGTTTTTTGATAGATGATTTCTATTCGTGGACTCAAAGCCTCATAATTATATTATATATGTTAGGAAGGATTTTCCTTATTTTCCTGGTGACATGAAAAATCTATGTAAGTGATTTATAAGGAGATATCTGCACAGAGATCTGTATGTTCCTTTATAAATTATTAATATAGAGATTTAATTTAAACATTATTATGACAGTTAGCCAATAGTGATATTTTGAGGGAATATTCTATAGACTCATGAGTTTGTTATTCTGTGACAATAGGTTTTCACCTTTTAAAATAAAAAACTATACTCACATTCCCCTCTGAGAGAACTCTATAGGCCGGGTGCGGTGGCTCATGCCTGTAATCCCAGCACTTTGGCAGCCCGAGGTGGGCGGATCATAAGGTCAAGAGATCGAGACCATGCTGGCCAACATGGTGAAACACTGCTTCTACTAAAAATACAAAAATGAGCTGGGCATGGTGGCAGGCGCCTGTAGTCCCAGCTACTCGGGAGGCGGAGGCAGGAGAATCACTTGAACCTGGGAGGTGGACGGTGCAGTCAGCCAAGATTGTGCCACTGCACTTCAGCCTGGCTACAGGGTGAGACTTTGAAAAAAAACAAACAAAAAAAAAACCAAAAGAAAGAAAGAAAGTGAGAGAGAGAGAGAGAAAGAAAGAAAGGAAAGGGAAAGAAAAGAAAGGAAAGAAAAGAGAAAGAAAGAACTCTATCTGTGCAGTTAAATGAGAGAAAGAACACATAGTTTAGAGGACTTTTATAGAGAAAGAACACATAGTTTAGAGGACTTTTATAGAGAAAGAACACATAGTTTAGAGGACTTTTATAGAGAAAGAACACATAGTTTAGAGGACTTTTATAGAGAAAGAACACATAGGTTAGAGGACTTTTATAGAGAAAGAACACATAGTTTAGAGGACTTTTATAGGACAGACCCCCAAATATTCTTGCAGTGCTAGGCCTCTTGGGAGATATTGGTAAAATGAAATAATTATTTAAAATCTATGAAATAAATGTAAATCTTTAGGATAAGTTGAAGCATGTAAATAAGTCTTGACATAGAGTAAAAGAGAGGAGTGAGATTTGTATGTGAATATAAGATTCAGATTTTTAAAATTTTAATTTAGTCATCTAAATGGTCTCCTGTACTGATTATACTCAGCTACTTAAAATGAGTAATTCTACCCGCAAAGGTAGCTAGTCTCTATAATTGACTTAAATGATGTACTTTTAATCAATATTTCAATTTCATTTGATGCCCTTGAAATGATGTGGAAAATAAAAGGAAAACTAGAACATTAAGTCCACATGGAGCAATATAGGAAAAACCAAATAAAAGATTTCGAATGCCCTTTTATGTAATTAATTGCTTTCAAAGAAGCAAATTCCAAATGTCAGAGATATATAAATGGATATTCAAGATAATGTTTATTTTTGTTCCTATTTTTATGTATTACAAATAGAGGTAATATTTAAAACAACAAAAGGGGTAAAATTTAAAAATTTAGAAAAATATAGACTACTGAAGAGTAACTGCCAATGGCATGTCTTATTAATGAGAATTCTTCCCTAGGGCTTTTAATTTGAGGTGGAGAGAGCAGAAGCAGCGGGCACGGGGCAGCTTCTCTCTAAGGTCACATGCTGTGGTGCAACACTGATTTAAAGTTGTCTGCCTCAGATCCACATCAAGATGGTTAGCTACTAGTACAGAGGAACTTTACTAGGTAGGATTTTCTTTCTTTCTTTCTTTCTTTTTTTTTTTTTAGAAAAAGTTTCCTTCTTGTTGCCCAGGCTAGAGTGCAATGGTGCAATCTCGGCTCACTGCAACCTCAGCCTCCCAGGTTCAAGCAATTCTCCTGCCTCACCCTCCCTAGTAGCTGGGATTACCAGTGTGCACCACCATGCCCATGTAATTTTTGTATTTTTAGTAGACAGGGTTTCGGCATGTTGGCCAGGCTGGTCTCAAACTCCTGACCTTGTGACCCACCCGCCTTGGCCTCCCAAAGTGCTGGGATTAGAGGTGTAAGCCACGGCACCAGGCCTACTAGGTAGGATTTTCTTAGCCATGATATGAAGCATCTTTCCCCTGCTTCCTGGTCACATGCTTCTGTAAGCACAAGGCCTCTGACCTTTCTCCAAAGGTGCAGCTAGTAGCCCCCGCTTGCTGCCAAGCGAGTCCACAGGCTCTATTTGACGTCCAGTTAGATCTGATCTTTGAAATAAAATAAGTAAGCTATTGGAAATCAGTAAAAATATCAACTAGAGTCTGGGCGCAGTGGCTCATGCCTGTAATCCCAGCACTTTGGGAGGCCGAGGCAGGCGGATCACGAGGTCAGGAGATCGAGACCATCCTGGCTAACATGGTGAAACCTGTCTCTACTAAAAATACAAAAAAAATAGCCAGGCATGGTGGTGGGCGCCTGTAGTCCCAGCTACTCGGGAGGCTGAGGCAGGAGAATGGCGTGAACCCGGGAGGTGGAGCTTGCAGTGAGCCAAGATTGCACCACTGCACTCCGGCCTGGGAGACAGAGTGAGACTCCGTCAGAAAAAAAAAAAAAAAAAAGAAAAGAAAGAAAACATAAAAGTAGTAAATATCCCTAAAACTTTAATTATACTTTGAATATGAATATTTGGGCATAGTTTTTTAAAAACTGCAAATCTGTCCAAGTAAAAGATTGTTTTTCTGGGTGATTTAGGGATAATTACCTTTTTTAAAATCATGGTCTGTTTTATGTGTTTCCAAGAGCATGCACTTTGGTAATTAAATGTGGTAGTAGGGATGTTTGAATGGAAACCAGAAAGATATTTTCATAATTAATAATTAGTTTATAAAAATCACTAGCATTCCTGTACACCACCGACAACCAAACTGAGAGCCACATCAGAAAGATAATTTGCCACCACACAGAAAAAATAAAATAAAATAAAATAAAATAAAATAAAATAAAATAAAAAAGACCTGGGAATGCAGCTAACCAAGGAGGGGAAAGATGTCTACAATGAGAATTATGAAACACTGCTCAAAGAAGTTAGAGAAGACACAAACAAATGGAGAAACATTCCATGCTCGTGGATAGGAAGATTCAATATAAATAAAATAGCTATGCTGGACAAAGCAATTTACAGATTCAATGCTATTCCTATCAAACTATCAGCGACATACTTCACAGAACTAGAAAAAATTATTTAAAGATTTATATGGAACCAAAAAAGAGCCCAAAGAGCCAAGGCAATTCTAAGCAAAAAGAATAAAGCTGGAGAAATCATGTTACCTGACTTCAAACTATACTACAAGGCTGCAGTGGCCAAAGCAGAATGGTACTGGTACAAAAACAGGCACATAGACCAATGGAACCGAATAGAAACCCCAGAAATACAGCCACACACCTATGACCATCTGACCTTTGACAAAGCTGACAAAAATAAGCAATAGGGAAAAGACTCCCTTTTCAATAAATGGTGCTGGGATAACTTACTAGCCATATGCAGAAAATTGAAGCTGGACTCTTTCTTTACAAAAATCAGCTCAAGATGGATTAAAGATCTAAAACTATAAAAACCCTGGGAAACAACCTAGGTAATACCATCCTGGACATAGGAACGGGCAAAGATTTCATAACAAAGACACCAAAAGCAATCACAACAAAAGTAAAAATTGACTAACGGGATCTAATTAAACGTAAGAGTTTCTGCACAGCAAAATAAATGATCAACAGTGTAAACAGACAACTTACAGAATGGGAGAAAATATTTGTAAATTATGCATCTGACAAAGGTCTGATATCCACCATCTATAAGTAACTTAAACACATTTACAGGAGAAAAATCAAACAACCTGATTCAACAGAGGGCAAAGGACAGGAACAGACATACATGCAGCCAACAAGCATGTGAAAAAAAGCTCAGTATCACTGACCATTAAAGAAATGCAAAACAAAACCCCAATGAGTACCATCTCGCACCAGTCTGAATGGCTGTTATTAGAAAGTCAAAAAATAACAGCTGGTGAGGTTGTGAAGGAAAGGGAACACTTAAACACTGTTGGTGGAAGTGTAAATTAGTTCGGCCATTGTAGAAGACAGTGTGGCGATTCCTCAAAGACCCGAAGTCAGAAATACCATTAGACCCAGCAATCCCATTACTGGGTGTGTACCCAGAGGAGTGTAAAGCATTCTACCTAAAATTCACATGCACGTGAATGCTCATTGCAGCACTATTCACAATAGCAAAGACAAGGAATCAACCTCAATGCCCACCAGTGACAGACTGGATCGAGAAAATGTGGTACATATAGACTATGGAATACTATGCAGCCAGAAAAAGAATGAGGCCATTTCTTTTGTGAGAACGTTATGGAGCTGGAGGCTATCATCCTTAGCAAACTAATACATGAATAGAAAATGAAGTCCAGGTGCGGTGGCTCACGCTTGTAATCCCAGAACTTTGGGAGGACGAGGCGGGCAGATCACTTGAGGTCAGGAGTTTGAGACCAGCCTGGCCAACATGGTGAAACCCCATCTCTACTAAAAATAAAAAAAAAAAAAAATTAGCCAGGCGTGGTGGTGCATGCCTGTAGTCCCAGCTACTCGGGAGGCTGAGGCAGGAGAATTGCTTGAATCCAGGAGGCAGAGGTTGTAGTGAGCTGAGATTGCACCACTGCACTCCAGCAGGGGTGACAGAGCGAGATTCCGTCTCAGAAAAAAAAAAATTAGAAAACCAAATACCACATGTTCTCACTTATAAGTGGGAGCTACGTGATAAGAACTTATGAACACGAAGGAAACAACAGATACTGGGGACTGCTTGAGGGGGGAGGGTGAGAGGAGGGAGAGGAGCAGAAAAGATCACTGTTGGGTATTGAGCTTAATACCTGGGTGATGTAATAATATGTACAACAAACCCCCATGTCACATGTTTATCTATGTAACAAACCTTCATATGTACCCCCAAACCTAAAATAAAAACTATGAAAAGAAAAAATAAAAAAATAAAATCTGGGGAATTTGAGTTGGCAAAGCCTCTGAAGTTTTAGCTATTGTGCTCTAGTCTGTTTCACTACACCCCACAAATAAAAATTTAATTTGCAATACTGGAAAAAGTCTTTTATGTAAAGGATAGATATGTTAGATTTTTTAAATATGCTAAATTAAGTTCTCCTCTTATTCCAGTTCACCTTGCTATTGTAAATCTATGTTTAAATAAAAGTCATCTTCAAACAATATTAACCAAGTTGCCTGAAGTCCACCCCTTAATAATCTGAGCTAATTAATCATTCTTCTTGGTCACTTCCTGAAATCTCTATTTCAAGACATGTACATTCTAGATGAAATGTATTAAAAAGACACACGGAAGTGAAATGCTTTGAAAGCAGGTACATTTTGCTTCCCCAGCCTGTAAGATGTCAGAGATTATGTGTTATTTCTATGTATACTTTGTCCTGATGAAAATAAAATTTTATTTGTACCTAGTATTTTATAATTTGAATAAAGGATTATAATCAATATTCTTCTCTTCTTTGCTTCTCTTAGCTGATGGCCCTTTTTTTCAGCAGTTAATTAAAGTTTGAATAGCTGTCACTTGTGACTAACTTCTGTGGCGTTTCCTTTGCCTGCACCTCAGACATCATCTCCTTCCATTCATTTCTTCTCAAATTGCGTACACAAGTGCTCTACAAAATCATCTACAGTCAAATCCCAGAGAAGTAGTAATAAGAGCCATTGTAGACAGGAGGAAGTGTGTTAGGAAACAAGAAGGTAGATCTGGAGCCAGTATAGACTGCAGCCAGGACCGCATGTTCCTTAGGGCAATGGAAAGAAGAGGAGATAAATGCTGTAAGAAGATGATATAGAAAATTTAAAAACTGTTATACACTGTTCAAATCTCATCAAAGGCATCAAAGAGGATCCCATTAAAAACACTCTTGAGAGCAGCTGAGCGCTGACGCTTTGCTGCTTAGAATGCAGGGCCAAGGGAGATATGAGGTCGGGAGGGTTTAGGTGTGCACCTGAGCATTCAGAGTAAAGAGAAATGAGCACTGGGAAAAGCTAAAAGGAGGCAGCCTGAGGGGGCCAGCAGGAGGCCGGCCGGCCGGCCGGGATGGCAGGCCACCTTCAGCAGGTCAGCCTTCACCCTGGCAGGCAGATCTAACGCGGATTTGGGAAAAAGAGACACTCTCAGTCCCTCCAGATTCTGGGATGGTTTGGTCTCTGGCTCTGAGGTTCCCAGGTGAAACTGATGCTGCTGCACCTTGCCGTGATGCAGTGTTACTCATGGCCAAGAGCAGAACTTCAGATGGGAGAGGGCTGACTCTGGCTTCTGCTATTCACAGCCATAGTGTATGGGAAAGTCAAAGAGGCTTCATCATTCAGTAACAAAAACAAATTTCAGTCACGTGAGGAAAACTAAACTGAGCTTTATGAACTTTCCTTTCCCCTGTCTTACTTTGATGTCATTTTGTCTTGTAATGCAAATATAGATATGTTTAATCCATATTTACCTTTCTAATTAATAAACAGCTAGTTTTATATAGATAAAAGCTTTCAAATTTTATTCAAAGGAGGTTTTCTCAGAGTGCTGATTTTCATTGTTCATCAGGCAGGTACATCATTTAGTGGAAACCAAGTAAAATTGTATCCATGAGTCCAAGCACAGTCCTCCAGTATTTTGTAGGATTCATCTAAAGACTTAAGTTTAACATTCATGTAATTCCCTCTAGGATGTACAGTTCCTCAGTCTCACAGAATTAGCCCAGTACCTGCTCTTCTGGGTGCTAGGATGCCATAGACACCCTGTAGTTCCTTTATCCAAATCCCATTACACTTCAGGTTTGGGATTCTAATTCATTAAGGAACTGAGGCCTTTTCATGTAGTATTTGTATAAATGCTGAGCTCTCAATATGGAAGAAGAAACAGGAAAGGAAGAAAGAGGGGTGGGGAGGAAAAGGAATAGGAGGAGGAGAAGAAGGAATAGGAGGAGGATGAGAATTAGGAGGAATAGGAACGGGGGGCGGGGCGAGGAATAGGAGGAGGATTAGGAAGAGGAGGAAATTTGCATATGGCTTTAAGTCCCTTAAGCTTCTGGTTAAGTGGCTCATCTACACAAACCCCATCTCATGATCCCGTGACATAGGAGCTATTTCCTCTCATCACTACTGATTGTCCTCCATGTTCCCTTTGACTTATCTTTCATGGCCACATGACCCCATCCCCACCCTCTAAATCCAATCCAGTGGACCTCCACACTCTGCTGCCCAGCCCTCTTGGTGATTTCTGAGCTCTTTTGCTGTAAACACAAGTGGACAGTCATCTGAGGCAGCGTTCTTTACTATCTGCACTCTCCAGAGCACAGTTGAGCCTGAGTTCCACCCCAGCACATCTCAACCTCAGTTGATTTCAGAACCTTTCAATCATTTCTGTGACATTTCTGAATTTCCTGACTTCACCAATGCCAGGAGGATAACCCTCCGAATCAAATCGAAGATCATTTCATTGTAAAGTTCCTCCTATATTGACATTTCTGGGGAACTATGACAAACTCAAGGCCTCGGAGGGCCCTAGACTCCATTTCATTAAATACAATTTTTGAATGGGTATCAGGGACCTTGACCTCAGGAAATAACTTGGGCACCATTTATGTCAACATAGGGGTCATCAACGTTGCTATGATGTTTCCTTTGGGTTCATTTAACCCTATTTAACCACATATTTCAACAACAGAAAGATTTAAACTCAGAGCAAGGTGGTCAACAGCACACATCTATTATGTACCATTTACAGACTCCTGAAGACCTGTTGTTCTCTCTCTACCATTTGGTCTCTTGCCATATTTCTTCAGGTTTATTAGTGATTTATCTCTTTTTGTTAGGTATTTTCCTGGTCCAACATTATTTTATAATTCAAATATTAGGGCACAGAAACAAAAATAGAATGTGGGTTTGAATACACATGAAATACCTACATCTATGTCATACATATACACATACACTAAAATAGTTTGCAATGGGTATAGAAATTAGAAGGGGGATAATATAAAGTAAACTTAAACAGCTTCAGAATTTTGCCAGAAACCAGCCCTGAACTTAACGATAACCCCATCTCAGTAGAAAGAAGAGAGGCTGAGTAAAGGCATGTTTACTCGGAAATGAGTTCCCCAGCGTGAAACTCAAGAGTGAGGAGAGAGAACTTTTAGAATTTGCCACACACCTGCTTTCTGTTGCATATTAACCACACGGTGCACTTTCCACTGGCTGCTTGAACAGGCACGTCATGTGTGAATGAAGTGGGTCAAGGTCAGAAAAATAGCGATTGTTGGTGTATGTGATAAATTGATGTGTACTTGCCCTGGGTCAGTCACTACTCACCTGCAGAAGATTCCTGCCTTATAGGAAGTAAAATCTGTATTGCTGAATCTCACACATTTCCAGAAAAAGCCAGGAAGTGTGGCTACTACAGGAAATTTCCTAATTTTTAAATATGAAATGATTCAAACATACTGTAGAAAAAAACTATACAATGTACAGTAACCACGCAATAGAAATACATCTGATGAATGGATTTGGCTCATGGGCCGCCAGCTTGTGACTTCTGATCAATGTTTTGAAATTATCCCTGGGAGACATGGGGAAGAAAGATTCAATCTGTAAGGAGCCACATGCAGTTTTGTGAGACAATTTGCAGACTTCAAAGTGACTGAGTCAGAGTATGTACATAAAACGTGGCCCAAGGGAGAACAGAAATCTAAAATGAAACACATTAAGGTTAATACTGGCCGGGCGCAGTGGCTCATGCCTGTAATCCCAGCACTTTGGGGACCGAGTCAGGAGGATTACTTGAAGACAGGAGATCGAGACCAACCTGGGCAACATCATGAGACCCATTTCTACAAAACAAATGGAAAAATAGTTACTACCCATAGGAATGAAAAGTCACTCATTTGCTATCACACAGACATACACATGTATGATAGCCAACTACCGGATTAAATCAGGCAGTCAGAAAGAGAAAACAAAAAGAAAAGGAGGCAAAAATACAACAGAAAAACATGAAATTTAATCTTTCAATTTCGAACTTTTTATCAGACAAGGACTAGAAACCCAATGAAGATGACAAAAAAAAAAAAGACAAAATTGCTTTCCTATGTATCAAGCTCAGGTGTAATTATAGTTCCACACTAAACTGCAGGCTTCATACAAGGACTTGCCACAACTCTTAGTTTTAGTACCGGCTGTAATTTATGTTGTGTTTAGATAAATTCCTGAGCTCTCTGTACCTAATTTTTTTTAATTAGTGAAAAAACACAGAAATAGCTTACATGCTTGCTTTAAGAAATAGATAAATAGAATATTATATTTTTAAACCTCATTATGCCTAAGTATTTAATATCTACTGGTGATTTTATTCTTGGCGAGCATAGCAGGGGCCATATGAGAAATGTAAATATGGTTATTGACCTGTTGTGCTGGTGACAAGATGAGTCTTTTCTCTAGGAGACTGGATTAGCTTGGCTGAAAATATTCGTTGCATACCAAATTAGACTATACATTGTATTTCTGTCACTGAATGTTTTCCTTAGTTGTTTTGTGAGTAAAATAAATTGGATGTATGTTCAATGTATATAATTCAGGCACCTTATTTCAAAAGTAATTAATGTCTTACTCACTTGAGACCAGATAATTACAGTTAATGTCATCTTAAAGGAGCCCCCAGGACTGTTAGCCATTGGTAAACGCATAAGAATTGGAATAAATTGACTTTCATGATCACTGAAGCTTCGTTGGGAGAACTAGGAGCAGAGAAAAGAATGATAAATCAAAAATTCGTCTCCTAAGACTGATGAAGATAACATATATATTTTTTCATTTACTCTTAGACAACCCTTACAAGATTTTTGCCCAGCGAAAGTGGCACGTGGAACATGGAATGACATTTCATAAAGATAAATCCAGAGATTAGTGCTGAAGACTACACCCCTGTGTAGTCCCACACAGGCTACCCCAGACCAGCCTGGCGGGCTCTGCACTAGGCCTCCCATCAGGCGAGAGCCAACGCTCCTCAGCCCGGCTCCACCTCATTCAGAAGAAAGTGTGTCTCCCGGCCTCACATTGCGCTGAATGCAAGGATACCGAGATAAACCAGGCTTTCCTTCGCTCAGAGTACAGTTGCAGACTTGGTAATGACTGAGCCAAGCCAGACTGACTGTGATAAGATAATAAATTAACTACCAGTCAGGAGCTAAGTCAGCAGATGTGCGAACATTTTAGAGGTAACATCATAAACTAGAACAGAGGAGCTCTTGGGAAGAAAAAGGGCTTGGAAATTATACCTGGAAAGATACCGCTAATAATGATCAAGAAGAAAAAACAAATCCAGTTTGGAAGTGAGCAATCATTTATGATGTAAAATATTTCTTAGAAATGGAATCTAGATAATGCTTGGAATATGCTTTAAACTACCTATATTTAATTTGTTTTTCTTGTGATTTTTGTATTGTTTGGTGTAAAATAATCTTAATCTTTCCAGGTGGTGTCTAATTAAGGCACATTTACTGATATGAGTCATTTTCTAAATATACTTTATCTAAGAAAATTTAAAATTTTTGGATCAACTAAAAACTCTCTCAATTATTTTAGAGTTAACTCTTCCAAATTCTAAAATGTATTCATAAATTATATACAACTATTTTAATGGTCACTGTGGGCCCAACTTCTGTATATAAATTTACCTTCTTATTTTACAGGTGCTAATGTTTAAAGATACTTAAATATGCCAATTTCTTTCCTCTATGTAGAAGTTTGAAATACATTCTATGCCCTGAGAGAACCCTTTGAAATTTGAACACATAGAGTATTGTTATGTGCTTTCAAAACTTTGTGTTGTATAGGACCCTCTTTTAGCTGAATATTTTTCAAGCAGTAAGCCTGTCCTGCATCGCACATGTACTGGGACACCCATGGACAAAATCATAAGACTCTGTCTTCCTGACAGATTTCCCTCCTCTCCTGGGGAATTCTCTAATGATGTCACTCTTTTTTTGTGCCCTGTATGGTTTTTTTTTTTCAGTTTCTTCTGTGTGATGCACGTGATGCTGTTACACTGCAGGGTAGCGTTTTTAAAAAATCTGATTTACAGTTTGTCCTACTATTATATATTTTGCTTATAAAAACCTTGTGTTTTTTCAAAAATTCCTAACAGACTTATTTAGGTCTAACTGACCTAAAATAAACCACACATGGTACAGTGTACAGTTTGATGGGCTTCGACATAAGCACATATAATGGGTTGAATTATGTCCCTCACGAGATATGTTAAAGTCCTAAACCCTGTTTCTCATTTGCGAATAGGGCCTTTATTTGGAAATAGGGTCATTGCAGGTATAATTAGCTAAGATGAGGTTGTAGTGGAGTGGAGTGGGCCCTTAATCCCCTTAATCCTAAATGAGGGGTGTCATCATAAGAAAGACACTGGCAAACAGATACAGACACAGAGGGAAGAACGCCACATGACAAGGAGGCAGGGGGTGGAGTGATGCTGCCACACGTCAAGAAGAACCTGCGGCCACCAGAGTTAGAAGAGGCAAGAAAGGATTCTCTCGTGGAGGCCTCGGACTGGCATCGCCTTGCCAACAACGCTGATGGTGGGCTTCCAGCCTCCAGAATTGTAAGGCAATAAATTCATGTTGTTTTAAGCCAACCAGTTTGTGGTGAAATAGCCCCAGGAAACGGATCCAATCTACAATCATGAAACCATCTGAAAATAAAAATAGCAAACATATCCCTCACCTCAACAAGTTTCCTGAAGGCCCTCCCATCACACAGTCCCAAGTCCCACCTCCTTCCTCAGGAAACCACTGAACTCTTTTGTCACTATAGACCGTATTTTGTAGAATTAATATAAATTTTACATAAATTTATATAAATCCCCAAATTATAGAAAATATATTTACTGTATACATGCGGTATATACTGGCTGCTTTCAGCATAATTATTTGGAGGTTTATTCATCATTCTTTTGAACATTCATTTTTTTGCTCCTTTGTTTAGCTAAGTAGTACTCCCTTGATATATCACAATTTGTTTATCCATTCACCTGTTTATGGACATTTTAGTTGTTTCCAACTTTTGGCTATCACGAATGCATCTGCTGTATGTGCACATATACATGTACAACTATTTGAACAGAGATACACTTTTGTTTCTCTTGGTAGACACCTAATTGTGGAACAGCTGAGTCCTGTAACAGGCATATGTTTAACTTTTAAAGAAACTGCCAAACCACTTTCTAAAGTAAACATACTATGTACAATCTCACTAGCAGAATATAGGAGTTCCAGTTCCTCCACATCTTCATCAACAGTTCGTATGATTACGCTTTGAAATTTTTTCCTTTCTAATAGGTATGTAGTAGTGTCTCATTGTGGTTTTTTATTTACATTTCCCTAATGACTAATAATACTAAATGTCTTTCATAGGCTTATTTGTCATGGCATGCCTCTGGCATACCATCTGTTCAGATCTTTTGTCTATTGTCTAATTTTTATGGGTTTGATCTTATCAATTTTTGAAGATTATTCTGGATACAATGAATTTGTTAGATATATGATTCCTATTTTTCATGGTCTGTGGTTTATCTTTTCTTTCTCTTAACGATATTCTTGAAGAGCAGGTGTTCTTATTTTTACGAAATTTCTTTTATCACTATTTTCTTCTATGGATTGTGTTTTTCTATGAAGCAACCTTTCTAACCCAAAGTAATAAAGTTTCTGTTATACAGCTTATTCTAGAAGTTTGATAGTTTTAGGCTTTACCTTGGTTCTATAGTCCTTTCTGAATTAACTTTCACATGTTATGTTAGGTATAAAGTCTTTTTGGTTTGTTTGCTTTTGCTTTTGTATATTGGTATCCAGTTGTTCTAGTACTAGTTAAAAATACTATTTTTCTTTATTAAGCTGCCTTTGTACATTTATAAAAGATGAATTGATCATATATGTGTAGGTCTGTTTCTAAACTTTCTCTTCTATTTTATTGATGTATTTGTTGGTCTTGAGGCAAATATCACATTGTCTTGATTATTGTACCTTTATAATGATTATTGATTGCTATACGTGCAAGATCCTCAACTTTGTTGTTTTGCAAAGTTGTTTTGACTACCTTGGGAACTTTGCATTTTTCTAGTAACCCTGTTTTGATATAGATTATTTTGAATAGGGAATGTTTTGACTTAAAAATAATATCAAACTTTTATAATTAAGATATAAGTAGTGTGAAAGGAGAGAAACATCTTCATTCTATCATTCAGCCCCTTTCAGGAACCTCATCCAACCTCACCACTCTAGGCTATCAGAGTTAGCACATTACATCTCTATACAGACATGCATTCGTTAATGATGAGGATATGTTCTGAGAAATGCATTATTAGGCAATTTTGTTGGTGAACATCACAGAGTGTACTTACACAGACCTAGCTGGTGTAGCCCATCAGTTACCTTGGCAATATGGTATAGACGATTGTTCCTGGGCTGCAAACATGTACAGCAGGTTACTGCACTGAATACCGCAGGCAATTGTAATACAATGATAAGTATTTGTGTATTTAAACGTAGAAAAGGTACAGTACAAATTTGATATAAAAGATTAAAAAACAGAAGACCTGCTTAAGCCCATTCTGTTACAATCTTATGGGACCAGCATTGTATATGCAGAGTCCATCGTGGACCGAAATGTCACTGTGTGGAGCACAACTGTATCTCCATCCATACTGACACACACACGCCTTCTGAAACCCATGCCTACAACCATATTGGTATCTGTATATTGGTGCTTTATAGTATAAAATATACCCTCTTGAGGCTGAGCCTCAGTAAATACTCATGCTTAGCCACTGTCAGCCTGCTTCTTCCTCTAATCTCCAAAATGAAGTAAGTTCATTGACAGCACTGGAGATGCCTGCATTGCTGGATTTACACTCTATTTTATTATTAAAGAAAGGGTTTTTTTCTCCCTAAAGATATCCCTATTTCTATTAATCTTTTCTGGCTCATTATTTTTCTTTGATAGGCATAGAGGGCAGTATGGTGGAAGTATTCTGCCTGTCTGTGAGTATTTTAAAAAATGGAAAATGTTGGAAATCAATTTCTTGTGCATTTACTTTTTCTTAAATACTATTACTGTTTCCTTTCCAATCTTAGACTGCTGAATTCTGAATAAATCTCTCACCTTTGTGGTTTTCTTGAAGTAGACCTTAATTTGAATTTTTTTTTTTTTTTTTTGACAGAGTCTCACACTGTTGCCCAGGCGGGAGTGCAGTGGCACAATCTCGGCTCACTGAAACCTCCACCTCCCAGGTTCAAGCGATTCTCCTGCCTCAGCCTCTTGAGTAACTGGGATTACAGGTGCCCGCCACCATGCCCGGCTAATTTTTTGTATTTTTAGTAGAGATGGGGTTTCACTATGTTGGCCAGGCTGGTCTCGAACACCTGACCTCATGATCCATCTGCCTCAGCTCCCAAAGTGCTGGGATTACAGGTGTGAGCCACTGCACCCAGCCGAAATATTTTCTTTTCTTTTTCTTTCTTTCCTTCTTTTTAAAAAAATTCTGTAGCTGATCCCTGATGGCTTTTAATTTGAATAAAACTTTATTTAAAGAAAGTGTTTATTCATTGATACGAATCACACAGAGTATAATTTCAAGCCCATTACCATGAAGATATTTTCCTATGTTTTACTCCAGAATTTTTAATTATTTTATCTTTCAAATTTAGATCTATATTCCAGCTAGAATTGTGTGTGTGTGTGTGTGTGTGTGTGATGTGAAGGTCAAAGTTTATTTTTCTTTTTTTACATATAAATATGTAATTGATCCAGCACCACTTAATGAAAAGACTACTCTTTTCAGCCACTCTCAGGTGGTACCTACGTCGTGACCCAAGTGACTGAGTATCGAGTCGGTCTGGTTTTCAACTTTCTATTCAGTTCGGTTGCTCTGTAGTTCCCCCCTTGATGGTTTACATTGTCTGTGAATATTGACAGTTATAGTTCTTACTTTACCATTCTTTTAAGGAATCATTTGAAAAATTCACATATTGGTGAAGCCATACAGGCTTAGAGTTTTCTTTGTGGCAAGTTTCCTAATGACAGATTTAATTTCTTTAATAGATACAATATATTCCAAATAGATTTTTTTCAATGAGTTTTGGTAAGCTATATTTTTCTAGGAATTTGACAATTTCTTCTAAATTTTGAAATATATTGGTATATAGGTCAAAAAATTGTATGTCTTTATCTTTTTAATATATGTAATGTCTGTTGGGATGTACCTTTTTAAAAATTTCTTATATTATTCATTTCTCTTTTCTGGCCTGATCCTAGCAATTGTTATAGGGAGTTTATAAAAATTATTCGTCTTTTTAGGGAAATAAATTTTTGCTTTTTAATTTTTCTACTATATGTTTGTTACTTCATCAAATTTAAATTAAATTTTTTTGGATTAACCTACATTT